>NC_000003.12:158251028-158554058 GCF_000001405.40 Homo sapiens | reverse complement strand
TACTCTTTTAATTTCAGAATCTCCTTAAAGGGAGGCAGTGCATTCTTCATGGCTAGAGCTTCAGCAGCTATCTAGAACCATATGGTGGAAGCCACTTACTGAGAACTGTGAAACAAGAGCCTGGGTCCCTGACATATGAAGCCACCATACCTACCTTAAAGTGTCTTTCACTTGAGGGAAAAATACATCTTTCTTAGGTAAGCCACTGTTCATCGTTTCTGTTGTGTTATCAGAACGAATCGATATACTTAATTAATCCTAAATGATACAATGCCTTTGAAGATAATCTTATCAGCTTTGGTCCCAGCAGGAAAAGATGACATACTCAAAACCTTAATGAAGTCATTATATACAGAGATGTGGGCAGGGTTAAAGGAACCAATTTGGGAGTAGTAGCTACAAGAAACAATTTCAGCACCTAGGTCTGAAGAGGTATAAGGAGGGAGCTGTTGATTTAACATGGTGAGAGCTGTATCCTTGAGAGAGAGACTAGCCTACAAAGGTCAGAAGAGCAGCCACACCGGCCCAGCACGGTGGCTCATGCCTATAATCCCAGCACTTTGGGAGGCTGAGGCAGGCGGATCATTTGAGGTCAGAAGATTGAGACCAGCCTGGCCAATATGGTGAAACCCCATCTCTACTAAAAATACAAATATTAGCTGGGCATGGTGGTGCACACCTGTAGTCCCAGCTACTCCGGGAGGCTGAAGCAGGAGAATCACTTGAACCCAGGAGGCAGAGGTTGCAGTGAGCTGAGATTGTGCCACTGTACTCCAGCCTGGGGGACAGAATGAGACTCCATCTCAAAGAAAAAAAAAAAAAAGGGCAGCCACACTGAAACATGGCCTCCAGGGGTACAGATACCCAATTCTTTCTCCTTCTTTTTAATTTCCTGACAGTCCCTCCCGTTGGCCAAATGCAACCAGAAGCCAGAGGGCAAGGGAAACTGGGTGATGCAGTCTGTGAAAGTCAGCCTCTTGAGGCACTGCAGGGAAAGAGGAGTCCAGAATGATTGTGAAGGGATGATGGAGAGTACTAGCATACATGCAATTTATCCTAATTACAAATTGACTTTTTAGTTCTTTTTTTTTTTTTATTTTTTTTTTGGAGACGGAGTTTCACTCTTGTTGCCCAGGCTGGAGTGCAATGGCGTGATCTTGGCTCACTGCAACCTCCACCTCCTGGGTTGAAACGATCCTCCTGCCTCAGCCTCCCGAGTAGCTGGGATTAGAGGCTAATTTTTGTATTTTTAGTAGAGACAGGTTTTCGCCATGTTGACCAGGCTGGTCTCGAACTCCTGACCTCAGGTGATCTGCCTGCCTTGGCCTCCCAAAGCACTAGGATTACAGGCGTGAGCCACCACACCCAGCTGACTTTTTAGTTTTTAAGTGGCTTGAAGGAGACTAATATAATCTTAATTTGCATGAAATCATATAATTTGGAAGTTTATTGCTGCTGTTCATTGATTGTTTACTAGTTTAGATGTGAAAGGTACATACCCTATGGCTCAGCAATTCCACTTTTAGGAATCTATGCAGCCACTAAAAAAAATGAGGCATATAGCTATACTGCTTTGGAAAGTTATCCAATGTATATAACCAGGGAAAAAAGTTAACTGGGGACCAGTATGTTTCTCATGGTCCTCAGTATGTTGTTATGGTCTGAAAAGCAAGCCCATGTGTAAATATCTCTATACAGATGTATTTGTTTAGGCACAGGGCAAAGTTGAGATGAACTGTTCAGAATGGTCACCTGGTCAGGAGAAAAAAAAGCAGCAGCAGAATAGGAGGGGCAGACTTTCTTTACATTCCACAGTTCGTTGCCTATGGATGACTTTCCTTTCCTTTTATGTTTTTTAGCATTTTCCAATAAAAAAACCCAATCATAAAAATATGGAATATCTCACTTAAGAAAAAGCTTAAATCGGGATATAATTTTCATTTTGTGTATCCTTTTATCAGGCTGTTTCCTCTATATGAGTTTAGCAAATCCGCAGATTTACTAAATCATATGTGGCCATTTAGTAGCTTGGATACTTACATTATATAATTTACAGAAAAAATATAAATATTGAGAAAATTTTTTAGTACTTAGCAGAAAGATAATTACTTTAGTAAAATGTTGGTCAATCATATTTAATTTACAAATTCCATATTAAAACTGGAATCCAATATTTAAATCCCAATTGAAGACATTTAAACATTAGATTTAAAAAAAATTCCCAAAGTAAAAATACATTTCAAATCTATGTTGCCTTTGTTAGTAAAAGAACAGAAATTTTTGCCACAGATCATGGTAATTCCAAAATAGTTATTTCAAAAAATAAGAGAAGCAGCATATATTTTTATAATCCTTACTTTCAAAGATCTCCAAGTTCTGTGTAAATATCTTTCCAAGGAAGTAAGAAATTAATTGAACAATTCTCTGGATAATTACATTGCAGTTATTATAGTAAGGTAAAAATACTTAAAAATTGGAACTTCAAGTTAAAGACCTCCAAAAGAAACAGAGTCTCTGGCATTCTCTAGGCTATGGTGAACCATAACCTGTTATCAATCACTTGTCACCTTCTCATATTGTTAATTATAAATAAGATACATTAAAATTCTGAGCACGTTGCTGAAAATGGGTCACATGACCTTTGAAACACAAGTATGATTATGGGATAACAAGTATTAATGTGAAAATAAAATTTTTTTTAAAGGTTCAAGTGTTTTTGATGGAGTAGCTATTACGTAATACAGGGCTTGAGCTACTACTTATGCTCTATGATAGGCATATACAAATTTTTGTTTTTTGGCCAGGCGTAGTGGCTCATGCCTGTAATCCCAGCACTTTGGGAGGCTGAGGCGGGCAGATCGCGAGGTCAGGAGATCGAGACCATCCTGGCTAACACGGTGAAACCCCGTTTCTATTAAAAATACAAAAAAAAAAAAAAATTAGCCGGGCGTGGTGGCAGGCACCTGTAGTCCCAGCTACTCGGGAGGCTGAGGCAGGAGAATGGTGTCAGCCCAGGAGGTGGAGCTTGCAGTGAGCTGAGATCAGGCCACTGCACTCCAGCCTGGGCAACAGAGCGAGACTCCATCTCAAAAAAAAAAAAAAAAACAAACAAAAATTTGTTTTTTAAAAAAACATTTCAAGTATGAAATGAAATATCAGACATTATAATTTTGGATGATCTTCCATTTTCACCTCATGTAATTAGACTGCAGATGATTCAAGTTTACAGCATTTTGAGAAAAAGCATTTTTTTCAAGTTGCTAATAAATCAGTCATCTGCCTTATCTTCTCCAGATCAATTAGACTTACTATAGCAGAAAAAGCGAAGAGAAAAGCTATAATATGGCTACATAAACAATCTAGTTATAGAATTTGTTTAAAAAATCTACCCAATCTTTAATATAGTCATTCAATCCATTGTGCTATTTTAAAAAAGATTTTTCAATTACTTATGATTTTCAATTCAAGTTTATAACACAATTTTCATAGAACATTTACAGAATCACAGACTGCAGCTATGGATTTTACTCAAGACGTGGGATTTTAGCAGTTCATTTTCATTTATTTATTGTTTAGAGAGAGGGTCTTGCTCTGTCACCCAGGCTGGAGGGCAGTGGTGTAATCACAGTTCATTGCAGCCTTGAATTCCTAGGCTGAAACAATCCTCCTGCCTCAGCCTCCAAAGTAGGTGGTACTACAGCCATGCACCATTGCACCTTGTTCATTTTCTTTTTATTTTTTGGAGATGAGGTCTCGCTGAGAGGTGAAGCCAGCTGGACTTCTTGGGTCGAGCGGGGACTTGGAGAACTTTTCTGTGTCTAGCTAGAGGATTGTAAACGCACCAATCAGTGCTCTGTGTCTAGCTAAAAGATCATAAATGCACCAATCAGCACTCTGTAAAAACGCACCAATCAGTGCTCTGTGTCTAGCTAAAGGATTGTAAATGCACCAATCAGCCCTCTGTAAAATGGACCAACCAGCGCTCTGTAAAATGGACCAATCAGCAGGATGTGGGTGAGGCCAAATAAGGGAATAAAAGCTGGCCATCCGAGCCAGCAGCGGCAACCCTCTCGGGTCCCCTTCCATGCTGTGGAAGCTTTGTTCTTTTGCTCTTCACAATAAATCTTGCTGCTGCTCATTCTTTGGGTCCGCACTACCTTTAAGAGCTGTAACACTTGCTGTGAAGGTCTGTGGTTTCACTCCTGAAGTCAGCGAGACCATGAACCCACTGGAAGGAAGAAACTCCGGACACATCAGAACATCTGAAGGACAAACTCTGGACACACCATCTTTAAGAGCTGTAACACTCACCGCGAGGGTCTGCGGCTTCGTTATTGAAGTCAGCGAGACCAAGAACCCACCAGAAGGAATAAATTCCGGACACATTGCTATGTTGCCCAGACTGGTCTGGAACTCCTGGCCTCAAGCAAACCTCCTGCCTCAGCCTTTCAAAGTGCTGGGATTACAGGTGTGAGTTACCATGCTAGGCCTAGTTCATATATATATATATATATATATATATATATATAATTTTTTTTTTTTTTTTGAGACAGAGTCTTGCTCTGTTGCCCAGGCTGAAGTGGCATGATCTTGGCTCACTGCAACCTCCGCCTCTCGGGTTCAAGCAATTCTCCTGTCTCAGCCTCCCAAGTAGCTGGGATTACAGGCACCTGCCACCATGCCCAGCTAATTTTTGTAATTTTAGTAGAGACGGGGTTTCACCATATTGGTCAGGCTGGTCTCGAACTCCTGACCTCAGGTGATCCGCCTGCCTTGGCCTCCCAAAGTGTTGGGATTACAGGCGTGAGCTACCGTGCCCGGCACCTAGCTAATATTTTAAAAGATAAAAAGGGAGCCTGAACTATGCTATGTTTTTTACACTGTGAGATAACAAGCCTGAACAACAATACAAGATCTAAGGAGAGAGGGTCAGTTCAGTTCATCACTCTTTCAGAACTGCACTGGGATCATTTTGCCATTCCTTCTCAAGACCTAAAAATAAAACGATTACATTGTTGATTTTAAAGTGTTGTCTTACTCTATTCGTAGTCTTTATTTCTTGAAAGCTGACCTATAGCTTTGGAAGGAGAGATGATAGGTGCCAGCTGGTGGACCCAGAATGATTACATCAATACATTTTGAAATATTTATACAAAGAAAGAGTCAGACTAGAAAATTCTGGGCAAGAGTAGGACTAATAAGATCCCTACTTAAATTCTAGTCCCACCATTTAGTTCCTAATGCAACAGAGAAGGCACCACGTACAGTGTACTTCCCTGACATCCGAAAGCCTCTGTCAGCTCAGGGCCATTTGGAGATATAGATCAGAGAAACCAAAATAATTTGGTTATAACATTTATTTTTGCACTGGCTCCAAATAGCTTGAGCAATGTAAATAAACAGGCTGCTAAATAGATTTCTTATTTAAGATGGGCTAATTAATTCTTCATTAAAACATATTTATTGAGACCTTCTGTATGTCAGGCATTAGGCCAGATTCTGGAGAAACAATGATAGCCAAAATAACTTGGAAATATATCATGACAGCATTTTCTTTTAGAAAAAACTCACCAAATAGAGTTGAATATATTAATCAATGTCCATCCCTATGATAAAAGGTTAAGATAATTACAGAATTTACAGTGTTCTTTCTTATATCCATTTGTATTCCTGCTGTGCTCTACTGACTCAAATGTTTTCTTATGAAGAGTACTTACTTTTCCATTATTCTATAAAGGAGTTCCAAAGAGTAAGGCTTACAGGAGGACATTAAAAAATTGTGCAAATAATCCAAGCATTTTATCAGTTGAGTAATGGCCAAGAGTTTATTTAAAATCTCTTGTAATACTCACAAGGAATTTTGGGGTAGGGAAAGGAGGAAAGCAAAGAGTAACATGGGTGCAAGCCTTTGATATAAACTCATCTAGAGTTTAGTGGCTGAAAATGTCCTATGTCTTATTTCATTTCTAGTTTTTTTTTTACTATCTTATTTGCTTAAAGATTTTCACTTGATGCACAAATCAAAGGAAAATCTGGGGAGGGACCTAACCACAGGCAAATGAATTGTGTCTTTTAGTTCCCAAATGATGCTTTCTATAACAGTACAGAGTAGAAAAACAGAGAGTAATGGAACACACAGTGGTCTACATGGTTGTGCAAACCCTTACTGGCAGATGCAGTTCTTTTTTAGCGGCATTGAAAGTCTCTTTTCAGCTCCATTGCAGAATCTGTCGTCTTGGCTGACAAATGGCAGTAGGCAAGATTGTTGATGCTTGTGGCCAAATGAAGACTTATCTTATTCAGCTTATTCTCCACAAAAAGAAAGAAATAGAGAGTCAGAGGGGTACTAGGAACCTGAAATTTTGCCTAGATTTTTGATAAGATTGACTGAGCAGGGCCACTTGGGTATTTCATGAGAGGTACTCTGTCCTAGGTTAAAACTGCAGTAGTTCCCAGCCTTCTAGAATAGCTATCAGGAAGATATAAGTGGGTGACTGAGAGTTCCTATGGCTCCAGCTTTCTTGTCCTTCAAGACTCAGTTTGATTGATTTCTTCCATGAAGACTTCCTTAATTTTCTAACTTACAGTAATTTCTCTCTTCTTTGCAACCAAGTCCTCTCCTCTGCCACTAAGTACTATATCTCTGACATCATTTACATGTCTGGGCTTCACAACTAAGCCTCTTGAGGGCAGGATCTCTACTGGATTCAGGTATGCATCCCCCAAGCACATCTTACTGTGCCCAGCATGAACTAGGTACTCAAAATGATATTCATGAATAAATGGGTAAATCTGACTGTAAAGAAGAACTGAGATTTCTCAAATAAGTAGATGGTAGGTCACTAATTGCAGAGTAAGTAAGGTTTCTTACGACCTTGGCAGGGAAGAAGAGCAGGGAAGGCTGAGGAAATCGCTGGAACGGCAACTATTGACCATGGCAGCTCAAGCACACACATAAACACATTCAAGTTGGAGTGTAGCAACTATTTGTTCCACATTTCACTAAGATGTCTATCATGTCAAATGTTCCCTTGGCATAAATAGCAGAAGTTTCTATGAAGGGCTTTCTTTTATGTCATTTTACTGAAAAATCAAAGTAGGCAGGTCTGCAATTAGTATCCTCATTTCACATGTTAGGATGCTGAAGCAAAGGAGGTGAATGATTCAAAGTATTCTGTGCTCATATCTTTAGCTCTTTGACTCCTCATAACTAGAGAGTGCCAGGAAAAATGCTCTTATTTCATTTTCCTTGAGAATATACTTACTTGTCAGAAATGAAAACTCAACCTGTATTATCAGTACCCATCATTTTGTAAGAAATCAATGTTTCGTAAAACACTTAAGGTCTCATGTATGTCCAAATTATTATCATTAATCAAGTGACATGAAAGGAATTATTCTGTTTTATAGACTCACCATATAAGGATATTAAAGAAGGCTAGCTTGAATTAGGCAATATGTTTGATCATGTTCTATGCAGTCCTTTTTATTAAATTTGATTTGGCTTGTGTGGTAATATTGTGGTCTTTGATAGGAATGCAGGTAAACGAAGTTAATAATATATAAAAATGAATCATGTTGAAAACTAGGGAGGAAGGAAGTAGTTACCGAATTCCTGTAGGGACCATAGTTTAGTTCATTAAAAAAATTTGATTTTCGGCCAGGCATGGTGGCTCATGCCTGTAATCCCAGCACTTTGGGAGGCCGAGGTGGGTGGATCATGAGGTCAAGAGATCGAGACCATCCGGGCTAACACGGTGAAACCCCGTCTCTACTAAAAATACACACACAAAAAATTAGCTGGGCATGGTGGCAGGCGCCTGTAGTCCCAGCTACTCAGGAGGCTGAGGCAGGAGAATGGCATGAACCTGGGAGGCGGAGCTTGCAGTGAGCCGAGATCGCACCAATGCACTCCAGCCTGGATGACAGAGTAAGACTCTGTCTCAAACCACCGCCCTCCCCCCCAAAAAAAACCCCAAAAAACAATTCTGTCACAGTTCAAGCTTCTGTATTTGGGGTACTTGCCACAGAGGAACACTGGTATTAAATATAATTGAAGTAGACCAGATTTTCACTGTTTTATAGATAAGGAAGATCAGGGATATTGAGAAAACTGCCTAGCCCAGGTCCTCTGGAGAATCATTAGTGGCCCAAATGATAACCCATATTCTTGCCCAGACCACTAACATATACTTTCCAATAGGGTGATAGTACTTCTATAGTTTATAAGTTATACAAAGTATGAAATAAAAATATTTCATAAACTGTAACCCCTTTTTAAGTCACTAAAATTGTATACATCTATGTTAAAAACCACACAAATCTCGGTTCATTTGGGGCACTTTTATTTACAGCCAAGGAAAAAAGAAAACTAGCATCTATTTAGAATGGGAAAGCATGTTTGTATGAAAACAAATATTTCATCATCACTTATTTTCTATACTGTTTGCAACTAAGTTTTACATTTTTCATTTTCAACAGAGATTTGAATTTTAATGTCCCAGAAATATAAAGAAGATGGCATTAAAATGTCCTATATGTTGGCAGTCCTACCCTGAAGACTTTTTTTGCTTATCTTTTGTTCTGAGCTACAGTCTTCGCAGAGACTAAATTAGTGACTGGACAACAGAAGAAAATAGACCATCCTGGCTAAAATGGTGAAACCCCATCTCTACTAAAAACACAAAAAATTAGCTGGGCATGTTAGCGGGTGCCTGTAGTCCCAGCTACTCGGGAGGCTGAGGCAAGAAAATGGCGTGAACCTGGGAGGCGGAGCTTGCAGTGAGCTGAGATCGCGCCACTGCACTCCAGCATGGGGGATAGAGCGAGACTCCGTCTCAAAAAAAAAAAAAAAAAAAAAAAAAAGAAAATAGAAACGGGAAATATTCATGTCAGCTGTTAAAAACCAGTTTTGTAAAGCAAGGCCTAAAAGTCCTATCTCTGGCATGTTTAGTATGGAACGTATAGTTGATTGTCATTCAGCTACTAGAGAAAGGTATTCTACAATGGCAGATAGCCTTATCAAAACAATTAGCCGGCTTTCTCCACAGGGAATAGCAGTGGGGTAAGTAAGACTGAAGTGAGAGCTCTTATCAGTTTTCTCAGAAATGATTTCTCCATCATAGGTATTTGGCCAACTGGTTAGGTCTAGCATGAACATGTGATTTCTAAAACAATGAGCTGAGATCTGCTAACATGTTGTAAAGGAGCATCTAGTAGAAGCTGATCTCTAAGCAAAATCACCAATTTATTTAAGTTTCAAAAATTTTTTTTCCATAAATATGTTCTTTAACATGCACATTCTGCTTACATTGTTTAGGGTGCTTTTTATTGTGCCTAAAAATTTGCAATATGGTGAAATAAAATATTTAAAAATGGTTGAATACCATACGGAAGATGAAATCTCATATTTATAGCATGTAATTCAATTCTCATGTATGCATAATTAATCAAAATTGTGTCTTTAAATGACATCTTGACATTTTTTGAATTGCACTAAGAAACACTAGTGTCTACCATTCATTTTAACAGACTTATTTATGTTTAGCTTTATTAACAGTATAACATTTTCATGCAATCTTAAATTTTGTTTTAATTTTTACAATGTTTGATTTAATTCAAATTAACAAATATTCAAGCCTACATGAGAGACAAATGAAATGAGACTACCTTTATATATAATCAGCAAAATTCTTTTTAAGAGTAAAAAGTTAATATTGGGATTTAAAAACCTAAATTTCCAATGTTACTGCTGACAATCCAATCCAACTATATGTATATTACTTAGGCCACAGGACTGCCCATTAGTCTTTCTTGTCGGAGAGCAATTAATCTCTTGAACCATTTTTCCTCAGCATCAGCTTTCTCGATAAATAACTGAAATAAGAAAAGAAAAAGAAAAAATGTTACTGTCTCCCAATAACTTGAATTTGACCTAAAATGACAGAACTCACCTTTGTAGAATATATCTCTCAACACAAGATTTGGATACTGTTTAACTCTTGATGACCTCTTAATTGATGACTATCTATTTGGAATTAGTAATGCTCAGAAATTCTTGGAGTAAAAGAACTACTAGTATCAACATCATTGCTTAACAATTTTGTACCTTATATTTGTGAAGTTTATTTCCTATAACTTTTCCAAAACAGCAGAATTACAACATTTCATGGAAGACAGCAAAGTATGATGTTAGTGATGTGCTCACTGATAATGAACAAAGTAGAGCTCAGAAATGGAACTTTTAGTGCTAGATTTTTAAACAAACACTTCTCATGGTGCTGATCAATTCAGCTAAAAAAAAAAAAAAGGAAAAAATGCTTCTCTTTGTCTATTTTTCTTAACCATAGACAGAATACTTCTACAGGTTAGGCAACATGAGTTGGACCCTACTGTATTCAAATATAGATAACAGTTCTAAAGGCCTGGGGGCCAGATGCCTATTTTTAGCAAGGGAATATGAACCTGTTTCCTCCAATGGTCTCCTTGGTGTTAGCACAAAAGGATAACAGATTGAAATAATTTCAGTAAATTAGACTTCAACTGACATTCGTAAAGTTTAAGGATATTACATTTGGATGGGCCAGGGAATTGTCATCTTGGTACTTGATAGCAGTAGGGATGCTGGTAGGATCTATTTCTTTTTCAGTACTGGGTGGATCAGCAACTGCTGATGCTGGTCCTGATGTTGAAGTTGCTTGTTTCACTTCACTAGGTTCCACTGACTGAAAGAAACAACACATATTAATTTCAACACAATACACAATTAGAGTTTTACTTCAAAAATATTTCTGATTTTGAATAACAACTGTTCAATTAGTCTCCTTTGAGATGATACCCATCTCCAAAAAGGCCCTACTTTTTGTATTTGTTTGTTTTAGAAATACAGTTATTTTATTTTTATATTTGTTTGTTTAGGAATAACTATATTTAGGAATATAGTTATAGATATATAGAAATAGAATATAGGAATAACTATATTGTATTTGTTTTAGGAATAACAAATAGAAAAATGCTGAGAAAATGTCAATCATTTCTTATGATAAGCACATTTTTCTTAAGAAATTGGTACTTACGTGCCTATACTATTGAAATATACATATATTTCATATATCTAAATTCTATTAATCAAAACAAGCTTACAACAAATATCCAACATTTAGTTGGCCAATTTAGGTATGAAAAGTAAATTCAAAGGTTATCTTTAGAAAAATAGCCTTATTGAGTTATAGAATTCATATACCATACAATTTACCCTTTTAAAGTACATAATTCAATGGCTTTTCACATATCCATGGAGTTGTGCAATTATTACCAGAATCAACTTTAGAACATTTTCATCATCCCCCACAAAACCTCATACCATTAGCAATCATTCCCCATTCCTTCCAACCTTTCCATCCTAGGTAACAATTAATCTTCTTTCTCTATGGATTTGCCTATTCTAGACATTTCAGATAAAAGGAATCATACAATATGTGGTCTTTCATGACTGGTTCTTTCATTTAGCATAATTTTTTCTTTTGAGACAGAGTCTTACTCTGTCACCCAGGTGGGAGTGCAGTGGCACAATCTTGGCTCACTGCAACCTCTACCTCCTAGGTTCAAGTGATTCTCCTGCTTCAGCCTCCCGAGTATCTGGGATTACAGGTGCACACCACCATGCACACTCGGCTAATTTTTGTATTTTCAGTAGAGACGGTGTCTTGCCATGTTGGCCAGGGTGATCTCGAACTCCTGTCCTCAAGTGATCAGCCCGCCTTGGCCTCCCAAAGTGCTAGGATTACAGGCGTGAGCCACCGTGCCCAGCCACATAATGTTTTTAAGGTTCATCCATGTTGCAGCATGTATCAGTACTTCATTATTCTTTATTGCTAAATAATGTCCCATTGTATGGATCTACCACATTTTATTTATCCATTCATCAGTTGATGAACTCAAAGGTTGTCTCGGAGCTACTTAAAATATTAAAATATATATATAAAAGTTTGAAAAAAAGGTACGATGTATCTTTGGCAAAAAATAAAACTCTAGGATTTCTTATACCATCATGCAAACCATAGACTCCCAATTTATTCCACCTTTACTGAGTATTCACCAGGTGCGATACACTGTACCAAGTGCTGGGGATACAACTAATAAATCATTGTTTCTGCCTTGAAGGAGCCAGCAGAGTAGTGCTTACTTAGTTACATTTCAGTAGCTTCTTCCCTAAGAAAGAAGGCCAAGGAGTGACTGATTAGCAGTAAGGTTACAGGGATAATATGAAATGGATTAGATCAGAAGCTGAAATTAAAAAGTAAAATTAAAAAAAAACAAGATGAATAGGAGATTGTTATGTAGCCTTTTTTATACCCATTTGTTCCACACCTATTGTTTTTCAATTTCCATTTATTTTAACTTATCTATAATTCTGAACATTTCACTTCTCTGAACAAAGCCAAAAACAGATGTCACTAAGAAAAATATACAGAGGATAAAATATGCATGAATTAAACTGTTCTTAGGTTAATTTGTTTTAGAGTTGGAGATCCATTTATTTAACCAGTATTTATTGAGCACTACTAATTGCTAAGCACTGGGTACACAGGCAGAATCAAATAGATATGGTTCCTGTCCCAAGTGGCAATTATATGTTGCTAATGGAGTTGACAGATTATAAACAAATAAATTCCAAAATAATGCATAATCACAAATTGTAGTATGTGCTATAAAGGACTATACAAGGTGCTGACAAAGAATGATGGGGATCAGGAAGGGAAAAACATCTACTTTAGATTGGGTGGCTAGAGATGGCTTCTCTAGGAGGTGAAATTTAAGCCCTGAAGACTTAGAAGGAGCCAGGCAGGTGAAAAGGAAGAATGGTTCTCTGGCCAGAGGGAAAAGACAAAGATCCTGAGAGAGAAGGGCTTGGTGTCTTTGAAGATCAGAAAAAAGGCCAGAGGGGCTGGTGTATAGTGAGCAAAAAGACAGTGAGACACTGCAGGCCAGAACTTGGGGTATTTCTTCCTTAACACAGCCACATCACCACTCTGCATGGGTATCACTTCCCAGCACCACAGCAGGAAAGTGCCCTCATACAGAAAGCTGGGTAACTGTGGGGCTCACCTTTTATTTCCCTTCTCCAAAGGATCACCCTCCTGAGCTGCCTATTGTTACATTCCTGAAAACAATGTCTTACACATCTTGTCAAGTTCTATAGCTGTTTATGGTGGGAGGGCAAATTTGGTACCAGTTATTCTGTAATGGTCAGATGGTCAGTAAAGTCTAATTATTCTTGAAAAATATTGTTTTGGCTGCTGAATGGGTCCTGGACTAGATAAATGCAAAAGGAAAATCAGGAAGAACAACCAGAGGGCTACTATAAAAGTTAAAGAATGAGATGATGATGTGGATTTAAATGGTGGCTGTGGATTGTGAAGAGGAGACAAGTTATGAGCTATTTTGGGGATGATGATATCAAGATCCACTTTTTTTTTTTAAGGCATGTGTTTTATTCAATTAAAATACTCTAATTTTTATTCTAATGGAAGCTGATCAGCATTCATAGGACAGATTTATTCCCTCATGGACAAAAGGGGTAGATATCTGAGGGATAGATATCTGGGCAGTCATGTATGTTTAGGAATTCTTACAAAGTAAGAGAAATCTATAAATTATTTTCAAATGTTAAGATGCTTATGACTACTAAATCTAACAATGATGCCAGTGTTAATGATAATATTAACTTTTATAGACATTTAAATAAATATTTATTCAATTTGTTTTGGCAGCTTTATTCTCATATTTTGGTGTCAGCAATTTTTTTTGCCAAGTCTCAAACATTTGTATGTCTCCAACACACTGTGCCTAGATGGTTTGTGGCCCTAAGTGATATTATACTGACCCTTTACACAACTGAGAACATTTAAAAAGCCCAATATTCTGCACAAGTGCAAGTGGGAAATACGCTAATCCAAGAGGTTCAAGACATTGATTTTTGGTAGTCTATACTGCCTTACGGGGACTGTAAGAGCATATCATTCTGCGTATCTTAGCCATGGCATGATAGGGCTTAGCTAGGAGACACTTTTCATGTTAAACTGCCTTAAAAATATGTGCAGTGCTATTATTCTAGTTATCAAAGATGTGGATACCACCTCTTCAGGTAGCAGAGATAAGATTCTACCATATAAACCAAGCAATCTCATCTTGTTTTTACGTACACAGTACATTAAGATTTCTTTGAGAAGTACTTACACATAATAGAAGGTGAAGCTCTCAGAGGTTAGATCAGAGCATGGAAGTTATTGTTTAATAACGGGCAATTAAAAATTTGTAGAGAGAACCACTAATTGCTTCTTTATTTAAGTGAGAAAAACTGTAAGATAAAATTTTCCCTTGACTATAAAACAAAACCTCAAAATGGCTACTATGAAATATATGGCTTTGAGTAGCGCTGCCACCTGGTGGTTTAGTTTGTAAAAATTAGTACTAAAATCTACTTCCAAGTAGGCCAAAAGACCATGCTGCATAGGGGTATTTACCCTTCTTTTGAACACAGGTGGGTATCTGCCAGATACAACAACATTAGGGTTGAATAACTCATACTAAGTTTGAAAACAAGCTGCATCTTGGTTCCTCAATGATATATCAGGGACTATCAGATTCTCTATTTACTCAGACAAAAGAAATACGATTTCAGAGAGTAAAACTAGTTAAATCAATATGTGTTGCAGGAGACACAATGTCTAGCATGTCACTGGTAATAGCCACTTTTCTGGTAAAAGCTCCCTAGCTTAATTAGTGGAATTAACACAGCTAAACAAATACGGTACCAACTGAAGGGGTGGCCAGCATACAAAAGCCTTTTTTTAGGGATACAAACTTTATATCAAAGTGTATAAAACTGTCCAGGAGAAAAATATGTTGAAACTAGGATCATGGGTAACTCAGTCCTCAAGAGAGTTAAATCCTTGCTATGCATTAGGGATAGTCCATCATATCCTTCCATGATCTGGATAAAAGGGTCCACAAGATAATTTACCTCCTTTTGCTAAGTAATCTCCTCATTAATAATTCAGCTTCTTGGGCATCCTGAATCCTTGCCTTATATTGCAGATATAGATATTTTAGAATCTAGGAAGGGATATCACTTTCTAAAGTAATAAACTGTCCCTTTGTTCTATATTTCAGTCAAGTGTGAATTTATTCATTGTTAGACTATCACTGATCTTCTGATCATTTTGAAGTGTAGTGACTAATAAAAGTCCAGTAAGACTTCAGACTACTGTATATTCACCAAGATAAATGCCACCTTATGAAGCTTTATAGCATATTCTCCTGTTAGCACCACTTCCTACCTTTCAATGCATGCTTTCTTGGAGGCGTTGACTTGAAAATAAGTTTAAAGGGAAAAATTAACAATTAGTACCAAGTGAGAAAGAGTTGTTTAGTAGAAAACCCAGTGTATTGACTGTGGAAGAATAAGCATTTCTACAGAATGAAAATGCTAGTTTATCATAAGAGAGTCCAATAAAAACTGGGATGTCAGGGTAAACTTCACAAACAAATATTAGGAAAGCAAGTTTTAAAATAAATCATAGTAATTCCATTAGGATATATGAATGGCCTGATAATATGTAAGAATAAGATTAAATAAAATGGGCAACTACATTTATGAATGTCTATTTCACAGCCCCATTTTTTTAGGAGTTGTGGTGGCAAACTATCAAAAGTTCAAAGGAAATCAACAAAATGGCAACGCAAGGACCACAGATTATCCAGGGCTATCTGGTCCTATGCCTAACATGTAGTATATGCTCAATATATCTCTCCTGAATAAATTATTTTAAAAAGTATATGGTAATTGAAAAGACTTTAATCTCACTAATAACAAAAGAAGTGCTAATGGAAACAGGCCAATTTTTACCTATTAGGTCAGTAAACATGAGAAACCCGATAGGATTTGGTGTTAACCAAGATATCTGTGGGAGGCAGATATCTCTTTGAACTTTTGGGTGGAATTTGAATTGGTAGAATATTTTCAGAGGGTGACTTGGAAACATGTATTAAAACAATGTTAGCCTTTAACAAGTAATTCCATCTTAAAATTTTATTTTAAAAAGATAATAAACATGTACTTAAAATCTCTGAAGTTAAAACTACTTATTTGATAACAGAGGAAAAATAACCATCAGGAGACATCAACAGGATATTATACAGCCATTAATACAATTTATGGATGTAGAATATTTTAGAGTGTTAATTATAACCATATTTTCATTATATGAATGTTATTAAAGAATACATGTATTTCCTAGAATGCCTTTTCCTACTATAGAAACCTAATTCCTAAAAGCAGTCCTACTAATGAATGAAAGAATAAAATATTCAATGGAAGTAAAATGTCAATCAAAGCTCCTTTACCACAGCCAAATAAGTGATAATCATCTGGGCAAAGAATGAAGATATATGTGACAATATGGGTATTAGTTTTTATTATTAAAGCCCTTTTCTAACTTTTCTCTAGCAATGTCAATTCAAAAAGTAGATGTACACATTTGAAAAGAAAACCATGTATGTTAAGAAATGTGCATTACTGTTATAGAACTATCTTGTTGACATATTACTTAGTATTCTTGGTGAATTTAAAAATAAAAATGACATCTGACACATTTTATAGCATTTTTTATACAAATTAAACTTGTATTAAAGTGACTGAGTCTCCCTGATTTGTTTTCTCTCTCTCAGCAACATGGCTGACACTCTCTTGCTTCACTTCATCTATTAGAAGAAACACATTTAAGTAAAATCCATTAATAAAGCATCTCTTCAGGTAGAATCCAAAGGTTTACTCATAATGGGTGGATAAAAACTTACCTTTTTGACTTCTTTACTTGATCTGAATGTCTGCTGAACAAAAGAATCACTTTCAATAGCTTCAATTTCTTTTACTCTTTTTACTTGTTCTACCAGGGTGGCTTGGTCTGAAAAAGAGGGTATAATGTCAGCGTATTTTGGTGTAAGCATGTTAATAACACTACACCTAAGCAATGTTCTTTCTATGAAGAAATTTAATTGGATAAAAAGACATTATAAATTAAGCTATAACAAGAAACTCTTTTGTTCTGAGATCCACAAATATAACATTCCTATGAACTAAGACTTATACTCAAAACCTAAAACACTGCTAAGAAGGCACTGCCTTAATGATCTCAGCTAATCTGGTGGGAGGACTTTTTCTTAAACTTTAGCATTTTATCATGGAAATACATATAAAAGGAATAAGGGCACAGTGAATCCACCTGTACTCAATGCTCAGCTTCTATAACCATTAACTTTCTGTTATTCTTATTTAATCTATCTATCTAAATCCACCTCAATTTTTTTGGGTGGATCTGATATATTTAAAAATAAATCCCAGGCATCACACCATTTTATCCCTAAATATTTTAGTAGGCATCTCCAACAGATAAGAACTTAAATAAGACAAACAGTAACTTGACAATATCATTTTCACAACTAAAAATATTATCAATAATTCCTTAATTTGATTACATATATAAATATTCCATATTTAATTTTCACTAATTGTAAAAAAGTCTTTTTATAGTTGGTTTGAAATAGGAACCAAACAAGGTCCACACATTGCACTGGGTTGGTAAGTACCTTAAGTCTCTTTCTATCACTTACAGTCCACTGCCTTTCCCTTTCATTGCCATTTATTTACTGAAGAATCTGAATCATGTATCTTATAAAGTTTCTAGATTCTGGATCTGGCTGATTTTATTCTAATGATATTCTTTAACATGTTCCTCTATTTCCCATGTTTTGTGTAAACCACTAGTGAAACCTATAGGTTTAATTACATTAAGGTTCAATTTCTTTTGGTGAAGAGTATGTCATAGGTGACGCTGTGTCATTCCTACTACATCATATCAGGATGCACGTTTCCTACTTTTAGTGGTTAAGATTGATCATTGGGGACAAGGTGAGTCAGTCTGACCCCTTAGAAAGTTCTCCATTAATCTCTCACTTAGCAAATTAGCAACATTGTTTGTTGCTTTGAGCCATTATTTCATCAGAGGTTGTAAAATGGTGATACTCTATCATTCTTCCCACATTTATCAGCTGTGATTTTTCTATAATGAACATTTCCTCATTAACTATTCAGTGACTGTGAAATACAGCCTATATAGAAAAGTCCCAATAAATGTTTGATTCTTTCTCTTTATTTATCAATTTTGGTCCAAAGGTGACCAAAGATGATCATTATGAGTTCATGAATATTTGTTTATTTAATGTACTTTAGTCCATGGTAGTCATTTTCTTATTTTGATGCTTCAATTGCTTCATTTTTGGGTAGTAGGATCCTCTTGAAGTTGATTCCTATATCCTTTCAATATAATCCCCAGTAGTTATGGCTTAATAATAGTTGTAGGATCATCTTGAACAGTTTCTGTCCCAGACCTGAAATTAGCCATTTCTCCAAAGAATCCAGGCTCTTTATAATGGAGAATAATATTTATAGACAACAATCTGGGTACTAGGGGTATTGTTACTGAATTGTCAATGCTTCTGAACCTCTTCAGTACGTGAGATATGAAGTACATACTTTTAGAAGGAAACAGTTAATATGAGTTCATGCTGATACTACCAATCAAATTAAAGATTTTAGGATTTTGAAAGTCTTTTATTTTATATTTGTACATCTTTTTTCTTACTCTAAAAATCTTAGGCTCTAATGATATGACCAAGTGTATTTGTTTTTCTTAATATGTATATGTATTACTTTCAAAATAACAGGACAAACATTACTATTAATAACAAGATGTATTAACACAGTTTAAAATTTTGTTATGGTCTTTGACCTTAAGATTTATTCTACTGCTGAAATGCTAAAATACTACGCTCTAAAGTCATGAAATAATTCTCTGCATAATTATGCTATCAATTTGATATACAATTAGGTTTATTTGTTTCAGTTAATTGAAAAAATATTTTAGGTCTTACTTTGTGATTAATATTCATTTTTTAGTTGCAAAAAATATTTACATGATTCTAAGGTCAAAATTTAAAACATCATTCACAAGTCTAGAATGTCCCTAGTTCTTACTCCAATCTAGAGGTAACCATTTTTACTAAGTTTGTGTTTACCCCTCCATTGTTTATTTTTGAGAATATAAGTATATTCTTTTCTTGCTTACATAAAATTAGCATACTACATACTACTATGTATCTTACCTTTTTCACTTAATATTTCTTCACTCTCACTCCATAGCAGCTAAGAGAGTTCTGCATTCTATTTTATAATTGCATAGCATTCTATTTTATAGTTTGATGATAGGTTTTTCCACGAATGGCCTATGGATGGTTAGTTGTTTCTAGTCTTCTGCTTTCACAGTTACAGCTTTAATAAATAGCCACGTGCATGTGTAATTTCGTATTTTTGTATTTTCATATTTTTATATTTCAGTTTTTTCACATGCTAGCTGGGCAGAAAAAATGTAACATAATGACTTACACCCTTGCTGTTTAAATTCATTTTAAGCTGATATGAAGACATAGTTGAATTAGGATTGATTGTATACTCAGCTAAGGCACTTAAAAATTTTGGGATTTAGGGTTCATGGATAATAGTCACATTTACTTAACAATAGTAATAAGTGGTTTGACACGAAGGTGGAGTTTTTTGCAGCAAACTAATTTTTATAGCAGCTTTATCCTTGAAAGGTTTAATGTTGTTACAGAGATAAATATAAAGAGTATTAAAGGAAATTTGGTTTCATACATTCAACAAAAATGTTATCTGAAAAAATCTTTGTCTCAATTTTTGACCAATCACAATTTATAATGATTATAGTCTTGTGCAAGTTCTAGTCTATTTGTGGGAAAGATGGCTCTTATGAAGATGTGTCCCTGACAGCTGAAACCAGTCTTTTCTCTTGTGAGAAATAATCAGATGAGAATGAAATGCTTGCAAGTAGCAGCCACCACAGCCAATACTCCCACCTTTGGAAGAATATATCTTCCCACATAATAAAACCAAGCACTGTCAGAGTGCCATGTAAGAGTAAATAGTCCCACATGCTTTATACAATGAAAGCTCCTCTAGATTTTAATTATGCAATGTACTAATTGAGCATGTGAAATGAGAGAAGATTCTTTGCCCAGCTAATTTATTAATATTAACACATCCCATACAAGTAGATAAATTTTTTATTAATTACATATATAATAATGTTAATATGGCAAAGGAAAGTCATAATGGGTACTAGTCTGTGTAATCCAACTTCAATGTCAATATGAAAACTACATTTGTCTGTATAGGTCTTAGTTAATTTCACTAGAATTATTTCACAGTCACTAATTCCCAACCAAAAGACATTATTTCTGACTTCAGGATGATGTCTCATATGAATGAAATGTTGGACCACTTGAATTTTTTCTCTAAACATATTCTCTATTTGGAGTTGTAAAGGAAATCATTAGTATTAAATGTCAGAGGTGACCTCACAAACAGTACTTGATGTCTAAAGCTTGCAGTGTTTGTAGCTTTAAATTTGGACATACAACCAGCTCCTAATACAAATAAAAGTGTTATCATAGAGGCTTGCCAAAACCAATGCTTAACAAAATAGCATTGGAAAAATTATAAAGGAAAGAAGGAGAAAGATTACAGAAAAACATCATTATCTTTGTGTTTCTTTAAAGATCACTTCAGAACTAACAAAGTGACAGAGCAGATAGGAGAAAGCCAGTTTGCCTTACTCACAATATGAAAATACACCAACATAGCTTTTTTGTTTCAATGTGGGAATCATTTTACTGGTTGTAAACGCATGTTAAATTAAAATTTGAAAGATTCACAGGAGATTTACATTTTCAGCTTTACAGTACCTCAGCTCTATTGTATGAAAATAGACATAAAAATGTTTTAAATTGCTTCTTACTCAAAATTCTCATGTCAGTGACCACAAATGTATGTCTTGAGTATAACCCTGTCACTTTGGGAAGCAGAATAAAACATATCAATAATATATATTACGTTGTTTTAAATTCAGTTTCTTAAGTTTTTCATGTCAATTTGTCATTTAACAATTTTGTGCCAATTTTAAGATTGGGAAAATGTGATTTAAAATGAGTTATGGTTTATATGTGCTGCATAAATGCCCAACACACACAGTATCTTGTATTCATTAGCCATGAAGTAAAATTAAAGACAAGTAACAAAGTTACTGGGAGAATTAATATGGGATGTTTTAAAACATTTACATGGTAAACATGAAGGAAACACACCATTAGTACTTGATGATTTTTTAATAAACATATTATTTGTAAATAAAATGTTTTCTGCTAGATGTTAATGGAAGGGATATATACTTCATAGTAAAATAAAAAATAATAGACTCAGAAAGCCAAGTCATTACAGACCACAATAATCAATACTTAACTCAAAGTATAGAAAATCACTTTCCTTTTGTGATGAAAAATTTTTAAAAAATTGTATTAGTTACTGTTGATGTTTATAGTATAAAAATTAGGCTCTCCTGCTTCTTCAAGTTATATTTGACAATTTCACATTTTATAACACAGAGTTTTCTTTTAAAATACCAAATGTTATACAAATTTTAAAACTAGTAAATAAAGATGACAAGGTCCATATCAATCTTTCATTTGAAAAGAAAATTTTAGTCTTTTCATACTGCATTTGTAGATTACAAACATAAACCAATCTCCTCTAATAACAATGCCAGGCTGAGAACTGAAGATGGCACTATTGCCCCAGATGTGATCATGACAAGTAACAACCAGCAACTTCAACTGACTCCTTTTAAATACTAATATTTTATGAATTTTCCCAAAGATGCATTTTATGTTACAAAAAATTTGGGTCAGTTGGCCCCACAGTTACTGAGTTACTTATGTTACTATTCCAGGAAAAAAATATATACTAATAATATTGCTACAAATACATAAATAATACAAAAGATTATCTTATTTTCATATTAAATTAGCTCAAATTATAGTCAACAATAAAAACATTAAAAAAATTCCTTCTTATGTTACAAGACAGATAATAAAAAACTTTGAAATGTAAAGTATTTTTAAGTGCTTTACAAGAACAACAAAAAAGCAAACAACAATATGTTTGTATGGTAAAGCTGGCTATTCAATAAAATTTGTGGACAAAACATCTCATAAAGCTTAATTGGAATTCTAAAGTTTTAAATTTCTCATGAACACAGGTTTCAAATAAGTGAGCACATCCAATTGTTTTCCCTTTCAAAACAGTACATTTTAAATGTTTCTTTTAAAACACATACAAGGCAAGCATTATAAATCTATCCAACTCCAACATTTTGAGGTTGTTCGAGACCAATATCACCGAGAACAAATTTCCAGAACTGATATACACAAATAATTTAAAAGATGAGAAAACTCCTTAAGTGGAATAGGGCTTTTCTATTAGTCTTCTGGGAAGCTTATGCTACAGGACCATGTTACATATGCGGACGAGGCTCCTGAAGTGTCTGAAAGGAACTCCACTTTGGACGGGATCCAAGACAAACTCACCTTAAACTGCTTACTATATCAGATTAAGTAATAGGAATAATGTTAATGTGACTGTATCAATGAAGAAGAATTTGTTAAATATTTCAATAAGTGAAAGTGAACTGGGCATCAGGCTAAGCTTTATTAAAAACAAAATCCACACTAAATGTCTCATTCAACTCTTCTCACCTGGAATGCTCTCACCTTCTCTTAATCCTCCCTGTCATTTAAGGCCATGCCTGATGTCCACTTTGTGATGATGCCACACCTTGCCACCTGTGAGTAAAAGGGCCTCTTGCATAATTCATTTGGCTTTTAGCATATGCTGCCTTGCAAATCTCTTCTTGAGTGAAAGCTTCTTCTCCCCAGCTAGAGGGGACATACCTCTTTGTGTCACCTCCAGAACTTAGTGGAGTGTGCTTTATTATCTAGTAAGCAGTCAATAAACATTTGTTGAATAACTGAAATTTAAAGGGCAGTAAAGTTACCATTAAAAAATAAAACTTCATGGAAGAAAATGTCAAATTATAAAAAGTTTTTGTAACTTAAAAAATTAAATGTCTTTCAGTGGTGAGTTTTTTTTTTTTTTTTAAGTTTCTTTTTTTTTTTATTTATTATTTTTTTTTTTATTATACTCTAAGTTTTAGGGTACATGTGCACATTGTGCAGGTTAGTTACATATGTATACACGTGCCATGCTGGTGCGCTGCACCCTCAGTGGTGAGTTTTAAGGGCTCTGGGTTTGGGCTATCTGGGTTAAACCCTGTCTCTGCTATGTACCAGCTGTGTGGCTTTGGGCAAGTGGTTCAAGAGTGTTGGTCTCCATTTTCTCATCTATGGCATGGAGATAGTAATAGCCTAAACATCATAGGGTGGTTGAGAGATTTCCCCCCCACATCTTCCCTCCCTCCCTCCATCCCTCTCTTTTCAAATAAGTGAGCACATTCAATGTACCAGGCATTGTTCCACATAGTAGGACTTGGAAATGAATGAGAGTTTCTTCCTTCATGAGCTTATGTTTTAATGAGGGAGACAAATAATAAACAAGTAAATAATATAATATCAAGGAAAATAGAGCAGGCTAGAGGGCTAGAAAGGAGGAAAGGAAACTATTTCAGATGGGGTAACCAGAGAAGAACTCTCTGACATGGTGGTATTTCAGAAGGCAAAAATGATGTGAAAAAGCAAGCCACAAAAATCTGGGAGATGATAACCTGTGCTCCACACAGCGATAGGGAAGCATTAAAAGCACTTAAGAAATGGTAGCAGATACAGGAAGCACAGCATAAACAAAAGTGCTAATTTAGTAACAGTACTAAAGACACGGAAGTTGGCTAAACAATTCTTATATAAATCTGTATATTTCTGACAGTATGGTTTATAATAAGCTGGCAATATTCTTGAGTTCAGGCAAGTAGAAAATGGCTTTAGCTCATACATCTTCTGGTAAACCTGTGGTGTGCCAGGATGTGGAAATGATAGGAGGAGGAGAGAAGGAGTGGAAGCAGTGGAGGACAGGCCTGTGCACATCTATGAGAAGGCACAAAAGGCCCAGCTGAATTTTACCACCCACCAAGGCACTGGAGTCTACCATGATTCACTGAATGCTCTGGGTTGAATAGGAAAGTGGTATTTTGCTGACATATGGTTACCCAGGCTTCAGTGACTAAAGAGATGGGAGATCTTGTCACTTCCTAATGGATGTCTTATAACACAAACTACCCAAAATGACAGTTAGGCGGTAGAAACCATGTTTTAAAGCAAACATATTTTGTTCTGGTGTATATATGTCCACGGAAATTTTTGTTTTCATCATCGATATATGTAATACCTTTCCAGTGGGGAAAGTCATAGAAATGAATTTTTCATTTAAGTCATTGTTTAGAAGGCCAGATGAGCTGTTCTGGTAGCAGAAGTAAGTAATAGTAACAGCAATAGAAATTTAAGGCACTCTGCGCTGAGCACTTCACATGGATTACCTCATTTAAATATCATGACCATGAGGAATAATACTGTTACCCTCATTGTAAAGATGAGAAACTGAGGCTAATAAATAACTTGGTGACAGCCACATGGCTAGTTGGTGGTACAACTGGGATTCAACCCCTGAATTGTGACTAGTCATCTTCCAGTCAAATGAATTCTTTACCCACTCCTGCCAAGCAACAATTTATTTTTTCCCCACTCCATCCATTTATAATAAGTAATAAATATTCTTGATATTGTCCTTATTCTGCATTTTAATGCTTACTCATTCAGTAAAATACAGTGTAGCTTTATTTGTAGGATATATATATATATATATATACACACACACATACATATATACATAAAATATATATATTTTATATAATATCTTACTCTTCTGGCATTATCTTGAACTAGATTACAGATGTGCATTTTCAGAATCTTTCACATTTGAAATTTTTAAAGGGATATATATATATATCACATCTAGAAAACCTTTGTAAATGAATTTAAAAAGTTTCTAAAAACCTAGCATTTTTTTCCCTTAAGCCTGCAAACAACCTAAGTAGGAAATTGTCACTTTAAGCTGCTCTTTATTTACTGTTCAGCAATTGTTACAAAAAACAAGAATGGTTTCCATGAATTTGGTTAAACCAACAACCACTACATAGTCCCAAAATATAGACTACTGCCTTATGCTTATTGCAAATGTAATCAACATTGATAGTCAAATCCACTTTAATAGAGTGGTAAGAATTCATAATCCCAACAAAACTAAAGCTACTGGAAGTTTTCTTATTTTAATAGGGTAGGAAAAAGGAATATAATTTGATGTATACCAGATTAATAGGTCAGAATACAGATTCTGCAGTTGCTGTTTGCTGTCCATTTTAATTCTAGAATCCTTATCGACTCTAATTAAAATTCTGTAGATGGAAGAGTTGTATGTTTCTAAGGAACTTGCAGTGAATGCTGTCTGCCAGCCATCTCTAAACACCCCATAACCACACACAACTCGCCTGTCAGGAGAGCTAATGCAGACATCGCAGGGCACACCACATTTGTCACTGTGGCTAATATCAGAGATACGCAGCTCTTTTTTCTTAGCACACAAAAGCAAGATATGTAATTCAATGCTCAATTTACCCTTGTCTCGCAGGAGATTTTTCCCCGCTAATTGATAGAAATTAAGCCATTAATCAAGCCACTAGCCATCATTCAAACCAGGAAAGATGAATACAAACTTTCATCATAACCACCTTCCCCATTTTAGTGTTCATTAGCATTAATTTTTAATGCAATTATGCTATTCTTTTACGCTGAGCTCATAAATTACTGCTCTTTTGTTGCTGGCTGGCCTTGTAAAATCCAAACTAATGCTTTGTGCTCTGATCTTAAAGGCAATTACTAGGTTCTTCTATCTTTTATATCTTTGCATCCCCAATAACCTTTATATATAATGAACATCCATGACTGACTATGCCTGTTTTTTTAATGCCTCTATGTAAATCTCTATGAATATATAAATGTAGTCAAATGTGTCTAAAATAAACATATATATACACATACCACATACATTACAAAATACACACATTAATATAAAAAATCTCACAAATTCATATTGAAGTTCAGGTTCAAATATAAAGATATTGTTATGATTTCTCATGATAAAAATGTAATGCATTATTGTATAGAAGTTATACTTTTTATAATGAATTAGGGAAAAGAGGAATATTAATTGTGGCTAATTATTATACATATTTGCAAGGGTGGAACAGCTACTAAAAACAGAAATAATAACTTTGAATTTCAAAACCCCTTAGTTCTTTACCCAGGTTTACTGTCTCATGTTTAAATCCTTATTTTTAAAAAATTGTGTTGAAACTTGAAAATCAATGAGAAGGAAATGAGGAGTATCAGAAGATTGGAAAAACCACTTATCTAAAGGTGTGTTTTTATAAGCACATATAATAACTCCAGAGTCTTATATTTTACAAAGTGGATGTATTGGTTTATTAGAGGATGGTAGTAAAATGAAAAGAGTTTCCAGAAATAAATATTGAACCCAGAGGCAACATATCTACTTAGTTCTCTATTCTAGAGAAGGCAACAAGATGTATTCTGCTTATATTCACCAAAAAGCATTGATTAGGGTCACTCCTATGTGCAAAGGAGATTTAAAAAAAAATCTCCAACTCTCTTCTTGCATCATCCCATTAATGTCTTTGCCTCTGTTTGCAAGTTTTTATGTCTGGCCACCCACTAGCTAGAGAAAGGGTACATGTATGGCATTAAGATTAATGAACTAAAACTTGCTGGAAGATGTTAGCAGTGCTGATGATGTTGGTGCCAGCCCAGTCAGCTTGGAGTTACATAGTTGCAACCTACCCCTAACACCATGGGGCTGGGAGTATATTCAGAAGCGGCGAGTATATTCAGAAGTCTTCTACCAGTAAAAAAAAAAAAAAAAAAAAAAAGATTTTGAACTATTAACTTCTTAAGATATAGATACGGTGATGACTGACTTGAATTAATCTTTTATTTCCTCTCATGGTTAATTCTTTACTAGTTTTCATCTTTAATAAAAAGTCCTACATGGATTAGAAGCAGTTAGGCTAAATTCTATAATGACTGGATTCCCTGAACCAGGGGACTTATTATGCAAGGAAAAGCAGACAGCTTAAGTCCAAGTCTTTTGTGATCTGTTCTTTTGTGATGTCAGAAGCAAATGGATACCTAACATAATTGTATTTGAACATTAGTCAGTATAAAGTTATGAGTTCTAATGTCTCTTCTTGTAAGCATATTATGTTTCGGCTCATAAGCTTAGAGAAAATAGTCTATGGCCCCATGTGCCTTAATTTCTCTGAACAGAGCCAATAAAAACACTGGGGTTCAGAAATAGGAAATTAATTTAGTTAACATGTATTTATGCCAGGTGCTAGGCTAGGTGTTGGAGATTTCTGGTTGAGATTTCCAGTTGCTCTCTCAGAGTTCATTGGCAAATCAAACTAATTCTTATTTAGAACTTTTATCTGCAAGCAGTTAAGATCTGACTATACAGTGGGTAGGAACAGGGATTTGTTGTGTTTGCAAGTGCCTTAGCATGTTTCACTTGATCCTAATTTTTGGTAATACGTAATATACTCATTTCTAAGTTTAAGATATACTATTAGAGCTAGATTTTGGATATGAAACCAAGTCTTAGTACTTCAAACATCCTCTACGCTTCCCATTGCACTAGGCTGCTCTGTAGCCTTTCAATCTTTGATAACCTTACATGATTAATAGTTATGATTTTACGTGCTTATTTTATCAATTTTATGTACAACTTTGATCCTTTAAACAGAGGTGGGGTAGGGAGGATGGTAGAAGATGTGAGATGATGTTAATTTCTCTTTTCTAAAAGCAGAGTATTTTGCTATATCAATAATGAAGTGCATCATATAAAATCATAAGGTTTAAAGAAACCACCAAATACTTCAAATTGCACTTACAATATTAGCTTTACTGAAGTATAATTTATCTATAACTGTGCCTATCAAAGCATACAATTTGGTGAGTTTTGGTACATGTTAATTCTGTGTTACCACTACAACAATCAATATATAGAACATGTCCATTGTTACCAAGAATTTTCTTGTGTCTCTCTGTAGTCAATTTCTATCTCTACCCTGACCCCCAGACAACCACAGATCTGCTTCCTGCCACTTTAGATTAGTCTGCATTTTCTAGACTTCCATATAAATTGCATACTCTTTTATATCTGATGTCTTTCACTCAGCATAACGTTTCTGAGATAAATCCATGTTGTTGGGTACATCTGTGGTAATGCTAGTAGAATTCTATTATATGAATATCTGCAATTTTTAAAATCTATTCACCTGCAGATGAACATTTGGGTTGTTTCCAGGTTCTGGCTTTTGAGAATAAGGTTGCTATAACATTCATGTACAACTCTTTGTGTGAACATGTTTTTATTTCTCTTGGATAGTAAATACTGCCCTAGTACTGAAATAGTTGGGTTGTATGGTAGACATATGTTTAACTTTGTAAGACACTGCCAAACTGATTTCCAAAGTGGTTATACCATTTTATGTTCCCAACAGCAGTGTAGAAGAGTACTGGTGCTCTACATCTTCATCAACAGTTGGCGTTATCAGATTTTTAACTCACAGCCATTCTAATTGGTGTAATGTATTTCACTGCTGTTTTAATTTGCATTTCTCTGATGACTAATGATATTCAGCATTTTCTTCATAAGATTATTGGCCATCCTTTCTTTTCTGAATGATCTGTTGAAATCTTTTCTTCATTGTTTAATTGGTTGTTTGTCTTATTGAGTTATGAGTTCTTTATATATACGGAATTGAAGTCCTTTGTTAATACATATTGCTAATATTTGCTTCCATTCTATGACTTGCCTTTTTGTTTCTTAATGGTATCTTTCAAAGAATAAAACTTTTTAAGTTTAAGGAAGTATAATCTATCATTTTAAAAAATGGTTTGTGCTTTTTGTGTCTTATCCAAAAAATCTTTGCATACTCAAGGCTGCAAAAATTTTCTTCTAGAAGTTCTATAGTTTTAGCTTTTATAATTAGGTTTATAATACATTTCAAGCTAATTCTTATGGGTCCCGCATTTTTCTGCTGTGAAACTAAAGCTAATTCTTATGTATGATGTGAGGTAAGGGTCAATGTTTCTTTTCCTCAGTAAGAATATCCAGTTTTTTCAGTCGCATTTGTTGAAAGACTTTCCTTTCCCAATTGAATTGCCTTGGTAGTTTTGTTGAAAATTAATTGATCATATACATGAGGGTTGAGCAAGGTCTCTCTACCCTGCTCCATTGTTCTATATAAGGGGTCTTAAAAAGTTCATGGAAAATGTACATTATAGAAAAACGGTATGGATTTCAATTTTGTCTGCACCAAAATAAACTTGAATTAACTCGTCATAACATGTCTGAACAGGATCTAGTTTGAGGGACTAAGAAGGGTAAGACATCAGTTTGAAAAGAATCCTTATCAGAATATGAATTCTGCAAAGATTGAAGCAAGAACAAACATTAAATTTATAATGAAGCTTGGGTGAAAGAATGGTGAAATCATTGATGCCTTATGATAAGTTTATGTGGACAATGCCCCAAAGAAATCAGCAGCTTACAAATCGTTTTAAGAAGGGATGAGATGATATTGAAGGTGAAGCCTGCAGCAGCAGACCAGGCACATAAATTCGCAAGGAAAAAATTCATCTTAATTGTGCCCTAATTGAAGAGGACTGATAATTAACAACACAAATAGCCAACACCACAGCCTAAACCACAATTCAATTGGTTTAGCTTATGTAATTCTGACTGAAAAATTAAAGTTAAGCAAACTTTCCAATTGATGGGTGCCAAAAATGTTGTGCCCAGATGAGCTGCAGACAAGAGCAGAGATTTCAATGAAAATTACTAACAGGTGAGATGAAATTCTTCAAAGAATTGTAACAGAGGTGAAACATGGCTTTGCCAGTATGATGCTGAAGACAAAGCACAATCAAAGCAATGGCAACCAGGAGGAAGTGGTCCAGTCTAATCAAAAGCAGACTGGTGAAGAGCAAAGGTCATGGCAACACGTTTTTGGGATGCTCAAGGCATTTTCTTGTTAGCTTTCTGGAGGGCCAAAGAACAATACTTATTGAGAATACTTTAAGAAAATTGGCCAAAGCTTTAGCAGGAAAATGTCTGGGAAAGCTTCACCAGAGAGTCCTTCCCCACTATGACCATGCTCCTGCTCATTCCTCTCATCAAACATGGGCAATTTTGTGAGAGTTTTGATGGGAAATCATTAGGCATCCACATTACTGCCCTGATTTGGCTCCTTCTGACTTCTTTTTGTTTCCTAATCATAAAAAATCTTAAAAGGCACCCATTCGTCTTCAGTTAATAATGTAAAAAAGACTTCATTAACATAGTTAAATTCCTAGGACCCTCAGTGTTTTAGGGTTGAACTAAATGGCTGGTATCATTGCTTACAAAAGTGTCTAGACCTTGATGGAGCTTCCATTGAGAGATAAGGTTTATATTTTTTATCTTTTAATTCAATTTCCATGAACTTTTAAAAGTTCCCTCATATGTCTATCCCTATAGTAATATATAGTCTTGATTACTGTAATTTTATACAGTAAGTCTTAAAACAGGGAGTATAGACATCTAACTTTTCTTTTTAAAAATTGCTTTAATTATTCAAGGTTGTTTTCATTTCATGTAAAACTGATTCTGAGTAGAAACTCTGCTCCTACTACTTTATGTTGAGATTTAGCATTAGGATGCAAAGTATTATATATAATAAGATTTAAGTTCAGAAATAAGTTGAAATACAAATGATTAATAAGAGACTTTTCATAGTTTGCTAGGTACAACACTTAAAAAATGCCTATCACTTAAACCAACTTTAAAAATAGTGTCTGGAAATGGATCAATTTATAAAAATGTTATTGCTCACAAATAGATACTGCTATTGCAAATCTTTATTTCTTCTGATTTTAGAGCCAAAAGTTGAGTCATGTTCATGTTACTTTATAAAGTAGTTGCCACATAAGGACATAATGGTCTAAATGACTAAAAACAATGTTGATGCCAAGTTTTTTCTTTTTTGGTCAATGAGTGTAGGCTGGAAAATGTATTCAGGTGTCACTGATGACAGAAAAATCAAAAAGGAGAATAAAGAATGAATGACTAATAGAGAAGGCAACTTTTCAGGGACTTTAAAGAACTTAGGGTGAGCATATATATTTAAGAGTCTGAACCATGAGGGAAAATTCTAACTGTCCAGGGAAAAAAAATGAAGCATGGAGAGATCTCAAATCAAATGGATGAATAATCTGCACTCCTCAAACCATTATTTAAGAAGTAATATACATAAGTATACTAAACTGTGTTCTGAAATCTGCAATTATAATCTCCTTTCCATTTGGTCGTCATTTTGACGCTACTTTATCCTCAATTCAGCTTTTTCTTTCAAAGAAATGCAAATAATATTCTTGGCTTTTAATCAAGACAAGCCCTAAATGCCATATTATCTTTATCATGAAAGTAGGGTACAGCTGGATGCAGCGGCTCATGCCTGTAATCTTAGTGTTTGGAAGGCTGTGGTGGAAGAATCACTTGAGCCCAGGAATTCAAGGCTGCAGTGAGCCGTGATTGTGCCACTGCATTCTAGCCAGGATGACAGAGTGAAACCTGTCTCAAAGGGGAGAAAAAAAAAGTAAAGTAGGCCTTGTGTGTTTTTGTATGTTGAAATACAGTTGGCCAAGCTGTATCAAGGAATATATATGATTATTATTTATTGCTGCTTATTTTGGAGAAGACTGAAATCTTCACAATGTTATGAAAATTATATGATAATAAGACCTATGAATTCTATGCAAAGCTAATTTTTTCAATTAAAATATTCTGGTGAGACAGCTTAATTATTTCATTTAAAAAATTCTACTTCAAGAAAAAAAAGAGTAGCAAACTTTTCAGCTGGAAATCTCAATCAATAACGATCCTACCCTTTATAAAAACAGAGAAAAGTTTCTATATTTTAATGTAATTCTAATACATTATCATATCAATAAAGCAAATCATTCTAGTCCCCACATTTGCTAGATTAAACTGAGACATATATAGAGCCATTCAGATATAGGAAGCATAGCATAAACAAATAAATAAAGGAATTAACAAATGGGAAGTGAGATTATATATTTTAGCCCATTCCTCAGCACCTTTGAAGGAAATCAGCTATAGGAACAATATTATTATTAACCATTAATTTGTTTTTACTAAGTGTTTTTTCATGACAAATACAATGCTTTAAGTCATAAAATTGCAATATAATAAGGCAACTCCAGCTCTATTTACAAGTGAAGTAAGTGACTGTGAATATTAGTGCTCTAAGTTCTAGCTTCACAACTAATGATATAATCTTAGGCAAGTCTTCCCATTAAATTTACATCCTTTTTTTGAGTAAAGATATGGTGTATACTAAAGTGCAAATATGATCTCTGGGCAGAGGTGGCATTTCAGCAGAGGTGAGTTTGTTATTTCATAGAAGAAAACAGGGCCCTGCAACATTGAAAAACTTGGACAAATGAAAAATCCAGAGGATGAGGAACTAATGGAAAGATCAGGATTGTGTGGGTGCTAAACCCTGGGGATAAGGCAGGACAAGGGGTTCCGAAGATGTGGGCAGTAGAAGGAAGGAGAGTAAAGAGACAACAAATAGAACATGTACAACAGTCTTGAACTTCACATGGAGATCTGCTGGTGACTAGCGTGGGATGACAGTGGCTCTAGGGCATAATCTCTAACCATAACAACATAATTTCTAAGCAATCTATTAATATTTCACTTATTTTAATTCTTATGGAGTCATAACATTAACTACCACCAATAGGTGACTAGTCTTCTAAAAATATGTGATCTTCGGGAATGGAGAGATGGTAGTGGCAATCATTCTGTTATGTCTCAAAATTTGGGCAGAAAATGTATTAATCCATACAGATGGAGAAATCTGCAAACCTCTTAGGTATGTTTACCAGTTTGTAGTATCTGTAACTACATAACCAGGGAATAACCAGGGAATTCTAGTTATGTTAGATAAGCATGCCATTTCAATCCAAGCAAAAAATATGGGAATAAAATTCCAACCCATGAAGACTAAGACTGATTATAAATAAAAATTTTATATATACCCACATACATAGACATGCATAACACACTTCTAGGTCTACTTAAACTCATTTAATAATCACAAAACTATCACATAACAATGTTAGCAATAAACATAAACCTTTGAAAATGAAACCACTGCAAATCCACAATTAATTTGAAACATTTCAAGAAGAGTTTTTACAGGCTGACTCAGGGCTTGATCCTGTCAGCCAGATGGACATAGGAGGTCAATATTCCAGAAGCAATAAGACAGTGATTAGGCAGACAGTAAAAACAATTCCCTGGAATCAATTACTGTCCAACACATCAGAAAGTCATTTGACCCAAATACTCAGGAAATGGATTTAAAAGATAATTTTCAGTGTCTCTTTGCTGCCCATTTCTCAAAGTCTTCTATAGTAAACACATTCAAAAAGCCAAGTACTACCTTAAATAATCTCTGACTGCAAATAGTCTGTTCAAAAGTGATGACTACAAGAAGGATTCTTCTAAATAAGACAAGTTTAATTGTTCCTCCATGTGCTGATTGCTAGGAGAACATATTTATTTCTTTGTGTCTGTCTAGTCAGAGACACTGTGAAGCTGTAAGCTTTAAGAAAACCTGATCTTGTCCAAAAGGTTATCAACCACTCTGAAATTCTGCTACAAAATAGAATGGGCCAATTTAATTTTCCAAATTAAATTTGGAAAAGTGGAAGATACTTGTTTACCTCTCATAAGAATTTCTAGAGAGTATTTAAAAACTACCTTTGACTGTCCTTGAAACTACTCAAGGCTGACCTTAATAGAAGGATTCTATTTCTATTTCTTCTCCAGTCCGTCATTCAACAGAAGTGACCACTTCTTCATTCCTGAAACTTTTTTTTCATTTGGCTTCCATGACATCATACACTTCTGGTTTTCCTTTTCCTCACTGGTCACAATTCCTCATTTTTCTCTACTGGCACCTCTAACATTAGAGTACTCCAAGGCTCAATGTAGGCTCCTTTCTCTTCTTTATCTATATTCTCTCTCTAGGTAACATATAGTTATAAACACCATTTGTAGGCTGGTGACCCTCAAATCTTTAGCTCTAGCCTTAACATCTTTCCCAAACTTTAGACTCATATGCCACATCTTCAATTCTTCTCTCTCACCCCTTAAATTCAAAGCATCACTTTTAATTGGCCTCTTAACTCATTTAGAATAAAGTTTACATTTTATGCTCTTACTTACGAAGGCTGGTATAATCTGGCTCCTGCTAAACTCTTTAACCAAATCTCTACCCCTTGCCAAACTGGCCTTCTTCAGGGTTCTTAAGCATTTGAAATTTATTTTTTAGCTTATAATCTTTACAGAAGGTGTTTCCTCCATCTAGAATGCTCTTTGGGTGGCAAGTCCCTCCTTGTTATTCAGATTTTAGCTTAAATGTCAGCTCCTTAGGGAGACCTTCCCAGAGCACTCAGTCTGAACTAGCCACTGGTCCCTTTCTAGCACAAGAGATAGTAAAGAAAACACTGGTCACTCTCTAATACGAGAGAGTAGAGAAACCGCTGGTCACTCTAATGTAAGAGAGTAAAGAAACCAGTTACTTGTGAGGCTATTACAGAAGTCCGGGCAAGAAATGGTGAACACCCAGACCAGGGTTAGCACAGGAGATAAAGATATTTGGGATGTAGAATTAACAAAAATTTGTGGAAGGTAAAAGAATTATGAAAATAAAGGCTGATTTCCAACTTTCTGGATCAAGCAACCAGATAAATGATGGTTCATTCATTACAACGAGAAAGACCTGAATGGGTGTAGTTGAGTTCAGTTTTGAAGATGATAACTTTGAGATGACTATATGTTAAAACAAAAAAAAAGTCTTCAAGTCTGGAGTTCGGAAGAGAGAGCCTGTACTTCAGATAAAAATTTGGAAGTAATAAGTATACATATTCACACTAGTGAAAAATGATAAATTCACCTGAGATAGAAAAGAAAAAGACTGAGTTCCTGTAAACAACACTTGGAAATCAAGAAGAAGAAAAGGAGACAGAATGGTCACGCTGGTAGAAAAACCAGATTCAGTACTATGTTATATAAACTGAAAAAGAGGGTGTTTCCAGAAGAATAGTGTGGTCGGTTGAGTTAAATGCTGCTCAGAGTTTGCATGTGATTAGAAAAATTATACTAGATTTGGAAAATTAGAGAGTATTGGTGATTTTGACAAAAGCAGTTTTAATGGAATGACGTTAAGTAAAATTGGAGAGGGATGGTGGTTAAATGAAGACTTCTGTTTCCCAGATTATGGAGGATATGGATATATGATAAATTAAATGATACTTCTACCGGTACTTCTAAATGATACTTCCATAACAAGAATATTAAATATTTTTAAAAATCAAATTAAATGTATTGTTGAGATCACAGGAAGTTAAAAGAAAATCTATGACCCAAAATGAAGAGTTATAGTAGTCCTTTAACCCATAAAGAAATTGAATCATTTGACAAAAAAAAAAATCTTTTATAAACACTATACTCAGAAGATTTACAGAAAAGTTCTATCAAACGTTCAAGGAAAAAATAATTTTGATGTTACACAAACTGACTTCCTAATTCATTTTACTAGGCTAGCACAATCTTGCTTTTTAAAACCCAGTCAAGAACAGTACCAAAAAAGGTCACAGAAGCAAATCATGAATGCAGATGCAAAAAGGGTATGGGAGTAAAAAAAAAAAAAAAAAAAATATATATATATATATATATATACACACACACACACACACACACACACACACACGCACGCACTTACGTACATATGCATAATTTATATAAAAATAAATGAAATCAAATTGTATAAAAATAGATAATACACCATAACCATGTTTGGTTTATTCTAGGACCTCAAATTTAGTTTAACACAGAAGATATATTAATATAATTAATAACATTTTGGGATTAAAAGAGAAAAATTAAACTAAAAAAACTAAAGTCAGCTGGGTGTGATGGCCCATGCCTATAATCCTCACTTTGCGAAGCAGAGGCAGGAGGACTGCCTGAGTCCACGATTTCAAGACCAACCTGGTCAGACCCTGTCTCAACAAAAAAAAAAAAAAAAAAAAAAAAAAAAAAAAAAAAAATTAGCTGGGTGTTGTGGTATACACCTATAGTTTCAGCACTTTGGGAAGTTGAGGTGGATCACTTGTGTCCAGCAGTTCAAAACTTCAGTGAGCCATGATCATGCCACTGCACTCTACCTGGGGCAACACAGCAAGACCCTGTCTCTAAAAAAAAAAAAAGTCTAACAAAACTTACTATTTACTTGAAGTTGAAACAAAATAAAAAAGGAAGGAAACATCTCTGATCTGAAGCAAAGGGAATCCACCAAAACAAACATCACCCCCTATAAAAAAGATAAAGCAAGTATCATACTTGTTAAATATTAAAAAGCAATACCTTAATGATCACAAACAGGATGACGATACTAGCTATCACCATTTCTATTAGGTACTGGTTAGTGGGGGTTGCAGTCAGTGCAGTGAGAAAAGAAAAAGAAAGAAATGATATAACAAGTGGAAAGAGACAAAAAGATAAGATGATTGTATTTATAGAAAACCCAAAAGTATTTACAGATAATTTGTTAGGTACAAAATCAATACTCAAGAATCAACTTCATTTCTATATAGCAGCCCTGAACAGAAAATTAATTGTAAAATGATAATAATATTAATAGCAAAAAATATAAGGCAACTAGGAATAAATCCAACAAATGGAGGGAGGAGCCAAGATGGCCGAATAGGAACAGCTCTGGTCTATGGCTCCCAGCGTGAGCGACGCAGAAGACGGGTGATTTCTGCATTTCCATCTGAGGTACCGGGTTCATCTCACTAGGGAGTGCCAGACAGTGGGCATAGGTCAGTGGGTGCGTGCACCGTGCACGAGCCAAAGCAGGGCGAGGCACTGCCTCACTTGGGAAGCACAAGGGGTCAGGGAGTTCCGTTTCCTAGTCAAAGAAAGGGGTGACAGACGGCACCTGGAAAATCGGGTCACTCCCACCTGAATACCGCACTTTTCCGACGGGCTTAAAAAATAGCGCACCAGGAGATTATATCCCGCACCTGGCTCGGAGGGCCCTACGCCCACGGAGTCTCGCTGATTGCTAGCACAGCAGTCTGAGATCAAACTGCAAGGCGGCAACGAGGCTGGGGAAGGGGCGCCCACCATTGCCCAGGCTTGCTTAGGTAAACAAAGCAGCCGGGAAGCTCCAACCGGGTGGAGCCCACCACAGCTCAAGGAGGCCTGCCTGCCTCTGTAGGCTCCACCTCTGGGGGCAGGGCACAGACAACAAAAAGACAGCAGTAACCTCTGCAGACTTAAATGTCCCTGTCTGACAGCTTTGAAGAGAGCAGTGGTTCTCCCAGCACCCAGCTGGAGATCTGAGAACAGGCAGACTGCCTCCTCAAGTGGGTCCCTGACCCCTGACCCCCGAGCAGCCTAACTGGGAGGCACCCCCCAGCAGGGGCACACTGACACCTCACACGGCCGGGTACTCCAACAGACCTGCAGCTGAGGGTCCTGTCTGTTAGAAGGAAAACTAACAAACAGAAAGGACATCCACACCAAAAACCCATCTGTACATCACCATCATCAAAGACCAAAAGTAGATAAAACCACAAAGATGGGGAAAAAACAGAGCAGAAAAACTGGAAACTCTAAAAAGCGAGCACCTCTCCTCCTCCAAAGGAACGCAGTTCCTCACCAGCAATGGAACAAAGCTGGACGGAGAATGACTTTGACGAGCTGAGAGAAGAAGGCTTCAGATGATCAAATTACTCCAAGCTACGGAGGACATTCAAACCAAAGGCAAAGAAGTTGAAAACTTTGAAAAAAATTTAGAAGAATGTATAACTAGAATAACCAATACAGAGAAGTGCTTAAAGGAGCTGATGGAGCTGAAAACCAAGGCTCGAGAACTACGTGAAGAATGCAGAAGCCTCAGGAGCCGATGTGATCAACTGGAAGAAAGGGTATCAGCGATGGAAGATGAAATGAATGAAATGAAGTAAGAAGGGAAGTTTACAGAAAAAAGAATAAAAAGAAACGAGCAAAGCCTCCAAGAAATATGGGACTATGTGAAAAGACCAAATCTACGTCTGATTGGTGTACCTGAAAGTGACGGGGAGAATGGAACCAAGTTGGAAAACACTCTGCAGGATATTATCCAGGAGAACTTCCCCAATCTAGCAAGGCAGGCCAACGTTCAGATTCAGGAAATACAGAGAACGCCACAAAGATAATCCTCGAGAAGAGCAACTCCAAGACACATAATTGTCAGATTCACCAAAGTTGAAATGAAGGAAAAAATGTTAAGGGCAGCCAGAGAGAAAGGTCGGGTTACCCTCAAAGGGAAGCCCATCAGACTAACAGCGGATCTCTCGGCAGAAACGCTACAAGCCAGAAGAGAGTCGGGGCCAATATTCAACATTCTTAAAGAAAAGAATTTTCAACCCAGAATTTCATATCCAGCCAAACTAAGCTTCATAGGTGAAGGAGAAATAAAATACTTTACAGACAAGCAAATGCTGAGAGATTTTGTCACCACCAGGCCTGCCCTAAAAGAGCTCCTGAAGGAAGCGCTAAACATGGAAAGGAACAACCAATATCAGCCGCTGCAAAATCATGCCAACTAGGAAGAAACTGCATCAACTAACGAGCAAAATAACCAGCTAACATCATAATGACAGGATCAAATTCACACATAACAATATTAACTTTAAATGTAAATGGACTAAATGCTCCAATTAAAAGACACAGACTGGCAAGTTGGATAAAGAGTCAAGACCCATCAGTGTGCTGTATTCAGGAAACCCATCTCAAGTGCAGAGACACACATAGGCTCAAAATAAAAGGATGGAGGAAGATCTACCAAGCAAATGGAAAACAAAAAAAGGTAGGGGTTGCAATCCTACTCTCTGATAAAACAGACTTTAAACCAACAAAGATCAAAAGAGACAAAGAAGGCCATTACATAATGGTAAAGGGATCAATTCAACAAGAAGAGATAACTATCTTAATTATATATGCACCCAATACTGGAGCACCCAGATTCATAAAGCAAGTCCTGAGTGACCTACAAAGAGACTTAGACTCCCACACATTAATAATGGGAGACTTTAACACCCCACTGTCAACATTAGACAGATCAACGAGACAGAGAGTCAACAAGGATACCGAGGAATTGAACTCAGCTCTGCACCAAGCGGACATAATAGACATCTACAGAACTCTCCATCCCAAATCAACAGAATATACATTTTTTTCAGCACCACACCACACCTATTCCAAAATTGACCACATACGTGGAAGTAAAGCTCTCCTCAGCAAATGTAAAAGACCAGAAATTATAACAAACTATCTCTCAGACCACAGTGCAATCAAACTAGAACTCAGGATTAGGAATCTCACTCAAAACCGCTCAACTACATGGAAACTGAACAAACTGCTCCTGAATGACTGCTGGGTACATAACGAAATGAAGGCAGAAATAAAGATGTTCTTTGAAATCAACGAGAAGAAAGACACAACATACCACAATCTTTGGGACACATTCAAAGCAGTGTGTAGAGGGAAATTTACAGCACTAAATGCCCACAAGAGAAAGCAGGAAAGATCCAAAATTGACACCCTAACATCACAATTAAAAGAACAAGAAAAGCAAGAGGAAACACATTCAAAAGCTAGCAGAAGGCAAGAAATAACTAAAATCAGAGCAGAACTGAAGGAAATAGAGACACAGAAAACCCTTCAAAAAATTAATGAATCCAGGAGCTGGTTTTCTGAAAGGATCAACAAAATTGATAGACCGCTAGCAAGACTAATAAAGAAAAAAAGAGAAGAATCAAATAGACGCAATAAAAAATGATAAAGGGGATATCACCACCGATCCCACAGAAATACAAACTACCATCAGAGAATACTGCCAACACCTCTACGCAAATAAACTAGAAAATCTAGAAGAAATGGATAAATTCCTTGACACATACACTCTCCCAAGAGTAAACCAGGAAGAAGTTGAATCTCTGAATAGACCAATAACAGGATCTGAAATTGTGGCAATAATCAATAGCTTACCAACCAAAGAGTCCAGGACCAGATGGATTCACAGCCAGATGAATTCTACCAGAGGTACAACGAGGAACAGGTACCATTCCTTCTGAAACTATTCCAATCAATAGAAAAAGAGGGAATCCTCCCTAACTCATTTTATGAGGCCAGCATCATCCTGATACCAAAGCTGGGCAGAGACACAACCAAAAAAGAGAATTTTAGGCCAATATCCTTGATGAACATTGATGCAAAAATCCTCAATAAAATACTGGCAAACTGAATCCAGCAGCACATCAAAAAGCTTATCCACCATGATCAAGTGGGCTTCATCCCTGGAATGCAAGGCTGGTTCAATATATACAAATCAATAAATATAATCCAGCATATAAACAGAACCAAAGGCAAAAACCACATGATTATCTCAATAGATGCAGAAAAGGCCTTTGACAAAATTCAACAACCCTTCATGCTAAAAACTCTCAATAAATTGGGTATTGATGGGACGTATTTCAAAATAATAAGAGCTATCTATGACAAACCCACAGCCAATATCATACTGAATGGGCAAAAACTGGAAGCATTCCCTTTGAAAACTGGCACAAGACAGGGATGCCCTCTCTCACCACTCCTATTCAACACAGTGTTGGAAGTGCTGCCCAGGGCAATTAGGCAGGAGAAGGAAATAAAGGGTATTCAATTAGGAAAAGAGGAAGTCAAATTGTCCCTGTTTGCAGACGACATGATTGTATATCTAGAAAACCCCATTGTCTCAGCCCAAAATCTCCTTAAGCTGATAAGCAACTTCAGCAAAGTCTCAGGATACAAAATCAATGTACAAAAATCACAAGCATTCTTATACACCAACAACAGACAAACAGAGAGCCAAATCATGAGTGAACTCCCATTCACAATTGCTTCAAAGAGAATAAAATACTTAGGAATCCAACTTACAAGGGATGTGAAGGACCTCTTCAAGGAGAACTACAAACCACTGCTCAATGAAATAAAAGAGGATACAAACAAATGGAAGAATATTCCATGCTCATGGGTAGGAAGAATCAATATCGTGAAAATGGCCATACTGCCCAAGGTAATTTACAGATTCAATGCCATCCCCATCAAGCTACCAATGAGTTTCTTCACAGAATTGGAAAAAACTACTTTAAAGTTTATATGGAACCAAAAAAGAGCCCGCATCGCCAAGTCAATCCTAAGCCAAAAGAACAAAGCCAGAGGCATCACACTACCTGACTTCAAACTATACTATAAGGCTACAGTAAACAAAACAGCATGGTACTGGTACCAAAACACAGATATAGATCAATGGAACAGAACAGAGCCCTCAGAAATAACGCCGCATATCTACAACTATCTGATCTTTGACAAACCTGAGAAAAACAAGCAATGGGGAAAGGATTCCCTATTTAATAAATGGTGCTGGGAAAACTGGCTAGCCATATGTAGAAAGCTGAAACTGGATCCCTTCCTTACACCTTATACAAAAATCAATTCAAGATGGATTAAAGACTTAAACGTTAGACCTAAAACCATAAAAACCCTCGAAGAAAACCTAGGCATTACCATTCAGGACATAGGCATGGGCAAGGACTTCATGTCTAAAACACCAAAAGCAATGGCAACAAAAGCCAAAATTGACAAATGGGATCTAATTAAAGAGCTTCTGCACAGCAAAAGAAACTACCATCAGAGTGAACAGGCAACCTACAAAATGGGAGAAAATTTTCGCAACCTACTCATCTGACAAAGGGCTAATATCCAGAATCTACAATGAACTCCAACAAATTTACAAGAAAAAAACAACCCCATCAAAAAGTGGGCGAAGGACATGAACAGACACTTCTCAAAAGAGGACATTTATGCAGCCAAAAGACACATGAAAAAATGCTCACCATCACTGGCCATCAGAGAAATGCAAATCAAAACCACAATGAGATACCATCTCACACCACTTAGAATGGCAATCATTAAAAAGTTAGGAAACAACAGGTGCTGGAGAGGATGTGGAGAAATAGGAACACTTTTACACTGTTGGTGGGACTGTAAACTAGTTCAACCATGGTGGAAGTCAGTGTGGTGATTCCTCAGGGATCTAGAACTAGAAATACCATTTGACCCAGCCATCCTATTACTGGGTATATAGCCAAAGGACTATAAATCATGCTGCTATAAAGACACATGCACATGTATGTTTATTGCGGCACTATTCACAATAGCAAAGACTTGGAACCAACCCAAATGTCCAACAATGATAGACTGGAGTAAGAAAATGTGGCACATATACACCATGGAATACTATGCAACCATAAAAAATGATGAGTTCATGTCCTTTGTAGGGACATGGATGAAATTGGAAATCATCATTCTCAGTAAACTATCGCAAGAACAAAAAGCAAACACCACATATTCTCACTCGTAGGTGGGAATTGAACAATGAGAACACATGGACACAGAGAACACATGGACACAGGAAGGGGAACATCACACTCTGGGGACTGCTGTGGGGTAGGGGGAGGGGGAAGGGATAGCATTGGGAGATATACCTAATGCTAGATGACGAGTTAGTGGGTGCAGTGCACCAGCATGGCACATGTATACATATGTAACTAACCTGCACATTGTGCACATGTACCCTAGAACTTAAGGTATAATAAAAAAAAAACCAACAAATGAGGTGCCAATTCTTTAGGGAGTAAATTGTGAAAGTTTATTAACAGATACTAAAGAAAACCTAAATAAATATGCAGAGCTATACCATGCTCTAGGATAAAAATACTCAATATCATAAAGACATTATTCTCACCAAATAAATCTATGGAGTCAATGTAATTTCAATAAAACTCTCACCATTGTAGTTGGTCAATTTATTTACTTAATCTATTTAATGAAACCTGAAAAACTGATTCATATGGAAGAACAAAGATTAAAAATAACCAATTATTCATAGAAGAAAAATCAAGTGTGGGATTTGTCTTACTAGATATGAAGACTTAATAATCAATTCCAATACAGTTAGAAAGGATGAATAAAACCTACTATCTGATAGCACAACAGGCTAACTATAGTCAATAACTTAATTGTACATTTAAAAATAGCTTAAAAAGTATAATTGGATTGTTTATAACACATAGGATAAATGCTTGAGGGGATGAGTACCCCATTTTCTGTGATGTGATTATTATGCATTGCATGCCTGTATCAGAACATTTCATGTACCCCATAAATTTATACACCTACTATATACCACGAAAATTAAACATTAAAAAAAAATTCCAGGTGGATTAAGAGTTTAAGTGGGAAATTCTTTGGAGAATATGATTATGACCTTGACTTAGGGAAGAATTTTCTGATACAGGACATAAAAAATATAAAACATAAAAGGACTAATAAATTTGAATACATAAAAATTAAGACATACTAAGAGAAGATATCTGTAATACATATTAATTTACAAAGAACTAGTAAAAGATAAACCAATAGAAACATGTAATTAAAAACCTGAATAAACATGTCACAGATAAAGGAATACCAATGACCAATACATACATGAGAAGACGCTCAAGCCCATTAGTAATCTTGGAAATGACCTTGCAAATCAAAATCAGATAACATTTTATAGTCATCACACTATGGCAATGAAATCATACACTGGCAACAATCAAAATGTCTGGAAAGATCAAGCATGGCAAGGATGTGGGGCAATCAGAAATGTTATGCAATAGTTAGGGGAGTGAAGACTGGCATCAATCACTTTGGAAACAATGTGGCACTATGTGGTTGAACTGAAGATGTGTGTACTTTATACCTCAGCAATTCTACTCCTAGGCATATATGCAACCTGGAGAAATACTTGCACATGTGTACCAGGAGAGAGGTATAAGAATGTTTATGTTTTAATAGCAAAAAATCTGAAATAACCAAACGTGCATCAACAAGAGAATCAGTAAGTTTTGGTACAGTCTAAAAATAGAATATTATACAACAGTGAAAATGAATAAACTACAACTATAGACAGTACTATCACTATGGTATACCATAATGTTGAACAGAAAAAGAAAGCAAGTCATAAAAATTTATATACTATTTTTTACTTTGTAAAATACAACATCTTGTAATTTTTTAATTTGTAAAATATTAATATAATATCTTGTAAGAGATGGGGCCTTGCTATGTTGCCCAGGCTGGCCTTGAACCTCTGGGCTCAAGCGATCCTCCCACCTCAGCTTACTTAAATTTGTAAAATTAGAAATATAACATTTCTAAAAGTAAATGTTATATTATTGGTAATATATACAGATGTGGTGAAAGCATAGAGAGAATTCTGCAAGAGAAGAATACGCATAAAATTCAGAATAGAAAAGATTGAAGAATTCAGCAGAAGAGTTTTCATTTTTCTGTATCTCAAATTGGAAGTTGTGTGCAGGTGTCTATATTACTGTTATTCTTTATGCCCTTTACATATCTTCTAAAGAGGCTTTTGAATGTATGTCATACTTAATAAAAACAGTTAAAAACTGAATGAGGTCAACAAGTGGGTCTAAGACTACTGGAATAATCCACATGCAAAAATAATAGGGTTGGATCTTTCACATCCTACACAAAAATGAACTCAAAATGGATCACGGATCTAAATATAAAACCTAAAACTATACAACTCTGAGAAGAAATGACAGTAGTAAATCTTTGTGATCTTAGGTTAGGCAAAGCCCTCTTAAATATCACGCCATAAGCTGATGTAACAAAAAATAAGCAGATAAACTGAACTTCATCAAAGTTAAAAACATTCGTGTCTCAAAGAATACAACCAAGAAAGTAAAAAAGACAACCAACAGGAGAAAATATCTGCAAATCAGGGAGCAGAGGTGGGAGGATTGCTTGAGCCCAGGGGTTCAAGGTCAGCCTGGGCAACAGAGCAAGACCTCATCTCTCAAGAGATATTATTGTACATCCTTCTTGTGATGACGTGAGATGATAAAATGCCTACGTGATGAGATACTACAAAAGTTGATCTGATAATTGAGATGGCAACGAAGTGACTAATGAGCGGTAGTGTATACAATGTGAATACACTGGACAAAGAGATGGTTCATGTGTGATGGTGTGAGATTTCATCACGCTACTCAGCACAATTTAAAACTTATGAATTGTTTATTTCTGGAATTTTTCACTTCATAGTTTTGGACTACAGTTCACTGTAACTGAAACCACAGAAAGAGAAACAACAGATAAGGGCGGGGGGCGACTACATATGCATTTAAAAAAAAAAAGAGAGAAAAACAAGGTGACACTCATTAGGTACGACATGTATGACACAGACTTTAGTTATATATTGTGGATAGTTAAGAAAGAAAAATGGGGGCTAGGAAATAGATATAGAGAGAGGGTAGAGACACAAATGTGACATACAGAGACACACACACAAAAGGGATGAAACAACAGGAGGGAGAAATAAGAAGAAAAAAAGAGAAACAGAGGAAAAGGAAAACGAATAACAGAAATAGGAAGATCTTTGGTCTTGTGACTGGGTGCCAGACAACTGATCATCATAGCCTTCAAATTGCCTACAGTTCTTAGAAGCAAATTCCAAACCATTTAAACTATCCTCATTGAAAGACTAAATTTTTTTAAAGCAAAACCAAAACCCACAAAAATCCCTAGATTATTATTATTTATAAAATTTAATTTTTTTTTGTAGACAGACTCTCTCTCTCATTCTATTATCTAGGCTAGAGTGCAGTGGCATGATCATAGCTCACTGCAGCCTTGATCTCCTGGGCTCTAGGGGTACTCCCATCTGAGCCTCCTGAGTAGCTAGGATTGCAGGCGTGTGCCCCCATGCTGGGCTACTTTTAATTTTTTTAGTTGAAATGGGGTCTCACTATGTTACCTAGGCTGGTCTCAAACTCCTGAGTTCAAGCATTCCTCCTGCCTCAGCCTCCCAAAGTGCTGGGATTATAAGAGTGAGCCATCATACCTGGCCAATGCCCTGGATTAAAAACTGGTACATTATTCGAATTCTTATTAAAAGGTTTTGGTGAAAATTTGGACACTCAAGCATTCTTGTATTTTTTTAAACAATAGAGAATAATCCTAATCCTGTTATATAAAACAAGAATTGTCACATTTTATTTCATACATAAGACAGGCCATCAACTTTCAAGATGCTGCTACTCAGGCTTTTTTTCAGAACAACATTTATAATATCACCTATAAAAACCTGCCCTGTGAGCCCTGAACAATTTTTTAAAATACTGATATATAATAGTTGTACATATTTTGGGGTACCTGTGCTATTTTGATACATGTATACAATGTATAATTATCAAATTAGGGTAACTGCAATATTTATCACCTCAAACATTTTTCTTTGTGTTGGGAACATTAGAATTCTTCTCTTCTAGCTATTCTGAAATATATAATAAATATTATAGTTAATTATAGTTTCCCTACTGTACTATCAAATACTAAAACTTATTTCTTCCATCTGTTATTTTTGTACTCTTTAACCAACTTCTCTTCATCCTCCACTGTTCTCAGCCTCTGGTAACCATGATTCTACTTTCTACCTCCATGAGATCTACCCTTTTAGCTCCCACATGTGATTGACAACATATGATATTTGTCTTTCTGTGTTTGGCTTATTTTATTTAACTTAATGACCTCCAGTTCCATCCATGTTGCTGCAAATAACAGGATTTCACTCTTTTATTTGTGGCTGAATAATATTCCATTGTGTATATATACAACACATTTTAAAAATCCATTCATCCATTAATGGCACTTTGGTTGACTCCATATCTTTGCCACTAGGACTAGTGCTGCAATAAACACAAGGGTGCAGATATTTTTCCATAAACTGTTTCCTTTATTTGGGATATATACATAAAATAAACATATACATATATAAAATATATATAAATATATACATATATAAAATATATACACACACACACCAGTGGGATTCCTGGATCATATGGTAGTTCTACTTTTAGTTTTTTAAGGAACCTCCATACTGGTTTCCATAGTGGCTATATACTTTACATTCCCACCAACAGTGTATGTGGGTTTCCTTTTGTCTACATCCTTGCCAGCAACCACTAATTTTTGTCTTTTCAGTAACGGCCATTTTAACCGAGGTGAGATGATATCTCACTGTGGTTTTAATTTGCACTTCCCTGATAATTAGTGATGGTGAGCATTTTTTCATATACTGTTGGCCGTTTATATGTCGTCTTCTTTTCAGGAACGTCTATTCTGGTGTTTTGCTTGTTTTTCCTTTTTAAGTTACATGCTTTGAAAAAGGCTGTACAATAAGAGTCTCTAAATACCCACCTCCCTCCTTTTTAAATTTATTATAATTATTATTATTTTTTCGCTACATTGACCATGCTGGCCTCAAATTCCTGGCTCCATGTGACACATACTCCCATCTCGGCCTCTCAAAACACTGAGATTACAGGCATAAGCCTGGCCTTTTAGCTGATTTTTAATGGAATTATTATTATTATTATGTGCTATTGAGTTAAAGATTTGAGTTCCTTACATATTTTGGTTATTAATCCCTTCTCAGATGGATAGTTTACAAATATTTTCTGCCATTCTGTAAGCTTGTCTTTCACTTGGTTGATTGTTTCCTTTGCTGAGCACAAGCTTTATAGGTTGATGCAATCCCATTTGTCTATTTTTGCTTCTGTTGTCTGTGTTTTTGAGGCCTTACCCAAAAAATCCTTGCCCACATCATTGTCCTGTAGTATTTCCCCAGTAGTGCTAACAAATTTCTTTGGGATTTTTATTTGCTTTTTAAAGAAATGTTTGTAAATCTCTGCATGATAAAACCTCTATGCTTGGTGCACATCATTTTCCTACATGAATCACTTGGTTTCAGCCATGTTAAATTTCATTCAGTTTTCAATTATTTGAAGAACCATATTCTCTTGATTACAGGTTTCACAAATGCTGTTCCCTTTACTTGGAACATTCCTATCCTTTCTCCCTTTCATCTATCTAATTCTTACTTATTCTTAACCCTCAGTTTACAATCTACTTTCTTCCTTGAACCTATGTAAGTCTGACTAGAAACCTTCTATGAACTTCTATAGCATGCAAAACTTCCTTTCAGGTTCTTCCTTCAGCTTGGAATACCTATTATCTAGTTTTTCAAAATGAATTTTACTTCTGCAAAATTCAGCTCAAATGCCACTCCTTGTGAAACCTTCCCAAAGCTCTACTGAGCATTTATTCTCCTTACATTATAGTTTTACAGAGTTTTTCACCCACTAGATGATATAATACAGAAGAGCTCTTACATGTACTCCCACAGTATTCAGCCCACAGTGGGGAATCAGTAAATATAAACTGGCTCAGTGAATGAACTTGATGAAATTAATCCTAGGGTGAAAGAAAGCTGGCCTAAGAGTTAGAGCCCTGCTTATACCAAGAGAGGGCTAATCTAGGAACACCTCCAGGGTGACAGGTGCTTCCAACTAGGTGAAAGGATCACAATTATAAGCAGTATGAATCCCACAGAAGACTACTTCATAAAAAAGTGCTGCAGTACCTATGAAAGTCATAAATAAAAGAGTACACTATAAAAAAACTGGCAGTGACCTGGTAATAGATTTTGACTGAATTGATTATTCACTTACAGTACTCAACATAGTCCTGCAAATGCATCAACTGTGTAATGAACAACTGTTAAGTTTATTGATTTTCTGATTTCCACTGATAAAAGGCCAAAGCTACCCATAAATATTTGTGTTAGTAATACACAAGAACTAACAACTTTGACAAATGAAACCTCAAAAGCCTAAACAGTCCAAGTTAATAAAAATTTGAAGGCCAAACGTCAGATCTAAAGGAAATACCTAACAAATGAATCTAATACACTTAATAACTAGTGAAGACAGTCTTGATCATCTCTTTCCTCTCATAGACTTTAAAAGGTTTCCTTTATCCTACCGTTGAGATTATTTCATAATAGGCATGCTTTCTATATCCTTCAATAATCAAGATTTTGTATTTATATAGCCTCCAGCTAACATTTGGATACACTTGCCAAAGTGCTTTCATATAGTTAATTCTTATAAAATCCCTGTGAGATAAGCATTGTTTTCTTCATTTTTATTTCAAGAACTGAAGTTCAGTGAGGTTAAATGATATGACCAAAGGCCACTCAGTAAGTAGTAAGTAGACCACTCAGTACCCAGTGAGTAGAAAGACCAGTGTGTAAATCTAGGTCATACAATTTAAAAAGTAATATGAAACAGCAAAGCAACATTTTATCCTACTCTTAACAAATTTTCACTGCATATTACCTTAAATTCATTGGCTATACCATTAAAATATTTTCATAGTAGCCTGATCTGATCATGGCAGATGGGAAGCAGGACTAGACTGCAGCTCCGACCTGGATGGACAGACAGCATCACAGAGGCTTGCATTGTGAATTTTAGCTCCAGAATGACTGCAAGAACAAACCAGCAATCCGGAGAGGACCCACAGAGCTAATGAAGGAAGCTGACTGCTCCTGCAGGACCTGGGAGACATCCCAAATACTGTGAGTGCCCCAACTGTGGAAGTGAGAATGGGACAGCCTCCTCTCCCGAACACACACCCCCACTGGAGAAACTGAAGGTCTGTTTGTGGGAGAAGTTTCTGACCTCACCTGGAGCTGAGTCAATTTAGAGAGCTGAGTGAAATACAGGGGTAGAAGAAGCAGCAGAAAGGCCCTGGGAGTTCACTGGGTGCCCAAGGACATTCCTGCCTGACACCACAGGAATCCACCAGGACGGTGTCTAGAGGAGCTGGGGGGAAAAACACCACAGGGAGAAGGAAATTTCCAGCTGAACTGTGTAACAATTTGAATGGGATGGGAAGCCTCCTGGCCAGAACTCAGCGGAGGGCACAAATCCCGTGTGCAGACTCCACAGGTGGGGGAAGAACCAAGCCCTTTTCTGGGAGACGGGTAGTCTGGGGCAAGTTCTCAAGCCTGGCTCGCCCAACACCTGGAAACAGACTCAGGGCTGTTGGGGGGGCACGGTGGGAGTCAGACCAGCCCTTCGGTTTGCATGGTAGCTGGATGAGGCCTGTGACTGCCGCCCTCCCCTACTTCCGTAACAACCTGCATGACTCAGCAGAGGCAGCTATAATCCTCCTAGGTACTCAACTTCATTGACCTGGGAACTTCACCCCCATCTCCAACAGCAGGTGCAGCAAGACCCACCCAAAGAGAGTCTGAGCTCAGACATGCCTAGCCCTGCCCCTACCTGATGGTCCTTCCCTACCCACTTTGGTAGCTGAAGACAAAGGGCATATAATCTTGGGAGTTCTAGGGCCCCGCCCACCACTGGTTCCTCTCCATACTACCACAGCTGATGCTCTCTGGAAAGTGCCACCTCCCAGCAGGAGGCCAACCCTCACAAAAATGGAACATGAAACCACCAAAGCTAAGAACCCTCACGGAGTCCATTGCACTCCCCCAATACCTCCACTGGAACAGATGCTGGTATCCACAGCTGAGGGACCCATAGATGATTTACATCATAGGACTCTGTGCAGACAGCCCCCAGTACCACCCCGGAGCTGGGTAGACTTGCTGAGGGGCTAGACCCAGAAGAGAGACAACAATCACTGCAGCTTGGCTCACAGGAAGCCACGTCCATAGAAAAAGGGGGAGAGTACTACATCTAGGAACACCCCATGGAATAAAAGAATCTCAACAACAGCCTTCAGCCCTAGACCTTCCCTCTGACAGAGCTGGTTTTCTGGTTCCCTCTCTAACCAAATGAGAAGGAACCAGAAAACCAACTCAGGTAATATGACAAAACAAGGCTCTTTGACAACCCCCAAAAATCACACTACTTTACCAGCAATGGATCCAAACCAAAAAGAAATCCCTGAAATCATTTTTACCTTAACAAGAATTCAGGAGGTTAGTTATTAAGCTAATCAGGGAGGTACCAGAGAAAGGCAAACCCAATGCAAGGAAATCCAAAGAACAATACAAGAAACGAAGGGAGAAATATTAAAGGAAATAGCTTAAAGAGAAAACAATAAAAAATTCAGGAAACTTGGGACACACTTATAGAAATGCAAAATGCTCTGGAAATTCTCAGCAGTAGAATTGAACAAGGAGAAGAAAGAAATTCAGAGCTCAAAGACAAGGTCTTTAAATTAACCCAATACAACAAAGACAATGAAAAAAGAATAAGAAAAAAGAACAAAGCCTCCAAGAAGTCTAGGATTATTTTAAATGACCAAACCTAAGAATAATTGGTGTTTCTGAGGAAGAAGAGAATTCTAAAAGCTTGGAAAACATATTTGGGGGAATAATTGAGGAAAACTTCCCCAGCCTTGCTAGAGAACTAGACATGCAAATACAAGAAGCACAAAGAACACCCAGGAAATTCACTGCAAAAAGATCATCACCTAGGCACATTGTCATCAGGTTATCCAAAGTTAAGATGAAGGAAAGAATCTTAAGAGCTGTGAGACAGAAGTACCAGGTAACCTATAAAGGAAAACCTATCAGATTAACAGCAGATTTATCAGCAGAAACCCTACAAACTAGCAGAGATTGGGGCCGTATCTTCAGCCTTCTCAAACAAAACAATTATTAGCCAAGAATTTTGTATCTAGCAAAACTAAGCCTCATATATGAAGGAAAGATACAGTCTTTTTCAGTCAAAAATGCTGGAAGAATTTGCCATTAGCCACCACTGCAAGACCTGCTAAAAGGAACTCTAAATCTTGAAATGAATCCTGGAAATACATCAAAACAAAACCTCTCTAAAGCATAAATCACACAGGATCTATAACACAAAAATACAAGTTAAAAAGCAAAAACAAAACAAAAAACAAAATACACAGGCAGCAAATAGCACAATGAATGCAACTGTACCTCACATCTCAATACTAACATTGAATGTAAATGGCCTAAATGCTCCACTTAGAAGATACAGAACCGCAGAATGGATAAGAACTTACCAATCAACTATTTGCTGCCTTCAGGAGACTTACCTAACACATAAGGACTCACACAAATTTAAAGTAAAGGGGCAGAAAAGGCATTTCATGCAAATGGACACCAACAGTGAGCAGGGGTAGCTATTCTTATATCAGACAAAAGAAACTTTAAAGCAACAGCAGTTAAAAAAAGACGAAGAGGGACATTATATAACGACAAAAGGCCTTGTCCAACAGGAAAATATCACATATATGCACCTAAAACTGGAGCTCCCAAATTTATAAAACAATTACTAATAGATCTAAGAAATGAGATAGACAGCAACACAATAATAGTAGGGGACTTCAATACTCCACTGACAGCATTAGACAGGTCATCAAGACAGAAAGTCAACAAAGAAACTGGATTTAAACTATACCTTGGAACAAATGGACTTAGCAGATATATACGGAACATTTCAACCAACAACCCCAGAATACACATTCTATTCAACAGCTCATGGAACTTTCTCCAAGATAGACCATAAGATAGGCCATAAAATGAGGCTTGATACATTTAAGAAAACTGAAATTTTATCAAGCATTCTCTCAGATCACACTGGAATAAAACTGGAAATTAATTCCAAAAGGAAGCTTCAAAACCATGAAAATACATGGAAATTAAATAACCTGCTCCTGAATGAGCATTGGATCTAAAATGAAATCAAGATAGGAATTTAAAAATTCTTCGAACTGAATGACAGTAATGACACAATCAATCAAAACCTCTGGGCTACAGCAAAGGCAGTGCTAAGAGGAAAGTTCATAGCCCTAAACACCTACATCAAAAAGACTGACAGAGCACAAACTGACATTCTAAGGTCACACCTCAAGGAACTAGAGAAACAAGAAAAAAACAAACCCAAACTCAGCAGAAGAAAGGACATAACCAAGATCAGAGCAGAACTAAATGAAATTGAAACAAAAAAAATACAAAAGATAAACAAAACAAAAAGCTGGTTCTTTGAAAGATAAATAAAATTGATAGATAATTAACAAGATTAACCCAGAAAAGAGAGGAAATCCAAATAACCTCATTAAGAAATGAAACAGGAGATATTAAACTCACACCAGTGAATGATCTTTTGTAGATCATTCAAGGCTACTATGAACACCTTTATGTACATAAACTAGAAAACCTAGAAGAGATGGATAAATTCCTGGAAAAATACAACCCTCCTAGCTTAAATCAGCAAGAATTAGATATCCTGAACAGACCAATAATGAGCAGTGAGATTGAAATGGTAATTAAAAAAATTATCAACAAAAAAAAGCCCAGGACCAGAAGGACTCAGCAGAATTCTACCGATATTCAAAGAATTGGTACCAATCCTTTTGACACTATTCCTCAAGACAGAGAAAGTAGGAACCCTCCCCAATTCATTCTATGAAGCCAGCATCACCCTAATACCAAAACCAGGAAAGGACATAACCAAAAAAAGAACACTACAGACCGATATCCTTGATGAACATAGATGCTAAAATGCTTAACAAAATACCAGCTCACTGAATCCAACAACATTTTGAAAAGATAACCCACCATGATGAAGTAGGTTTCATATGAGGGATGCAGGGATAGTTTAACATATGCAAGTCAATAAATGTCATACACCACATAAGCATAATTAAAAACAAAAATCACATGATCATCTCAATAGATGCAGAAAAAGCATTCAACAAAATCCAGCATCACTTTATGATTAAAACTCTCAGCAAAATCGGCATACAAGGGACATACCTCAATGTAATAAAAGCCATTTATGACAAACTCACAGCCAACATAATACTGAATGGGGAAGAGTTGAAAGCATTCCCTCTGAGAGCTGGAACAAGACAAGGATGCCCACTCTCACCACTCCTCTTCAACATAGTACTCGAAGTCATAGCCAGAGCAATCAGACAAGAAAAGGAAATAAAGGGCATCCAAATAGGTAAAGAGGGAGTCAAACTGTCACCGTTTGCTGACGATATGATCAATTACCTTGAAAACCCTAAAGGCTCCTCCAGAAAGCTCCTAGAACCGATAAAATAATTCAGCAAATTAACGTATACAAATCAGTAGCTTTTCTATACACTAACAGCGACCAACTGGAGAATCAAATCAAGAACTCAGCCCCTTTTACAATAGCTGAAAAATAAATAAAATACTTAGGAATATACCTAATGAAGGAGCTGAAAGACCTCTACAAGGAAAACTACAAAACACTGCTGAAAGAAATCATAGATGACACAAACAAATGGAAACACATCCCATACCATGGATGGGTGGAATCAATATTGTGAAAATGACCATACTGCCAAAAGCAATCTACAAATTCAGTGCAATCCCCATCAAAATACCACCATCATTCTTCACAGAATTAGAAAAAAAAAAACTCTGTTTTTTTGTTTTTGAGACAGTCTCGCTCTGTCACCCAGGCTGGAGTGCAGTGGCACAATCTCGGCTCACTGCAAGCTCCACCTCCCGGGTTCACACCATTCTCCTGCCTCAGCCTCCCGAGTAGCTGGGATTACAGGCGCGTGCCACCACGCCTGGCTAATTTTTTGTATTTTTAGTAGAGACAGGATTTCACTATGCTAGCCAAGATGGTCTCAATCTCCTGACCTCATGACCAGTCCGCCTCGGCTTCCCAAAGTGCTGGGATTACAGGTGTGAGCCACCGCGCCCAGCCAGAAAAAAACAATTCTAAAATTCATATGGAACCAAAAATGAGCCTGCATAGCCAATGCAAGATTAAGCAAAAAGAACAAATCTGGAAGCATCACACGGCCTGATTTCAAACTATACTATAAGGCCATAGTCACCAAAACAGTGTGGTACTGGTATAAAAATAGGCACATAGACTAATGGAACAGAATAGAGAACACGGAAATAAACCCAAATACTTCCAGCCAACTGATCTTCGACAAAGCAAACAAAAACATAAAGTAGGGAAAGGACACCCTTTTCAATAAATGGTGATGGGATAATTGGCTAGCCACATGTAGGAGAATGAAACTGAATCCTCATCTCTTACCTTGTACAAAAATCAACTCAAGATGGATTAAGGTCTTAAATCTAAGACCTGAAACTATAAAAATTCTAGAAGATAACATTGTAAAAACCCTTCTAGACGTTGGTTTAGGCAAGGATGTCACAACCAAGAACCCAAAAGCAAATGCAATAAAAACAAAGATAAATAGTTGGGACTTAATTAAACTAAAGAGCTTTTCCATGGCAAAAGGAACAGTCAGAAGAGTAAACAGACAACCCACAGGGTGGGAGAAAATATTCACGATCTACACATCTGACAAAGGACTAATATCCAGAATCTACAAAGAACTCAAATCAGTAAGAAAACAAAACAAAACAAAACAATGCCATCAAAAAGTGGACTAAGGACATGAATAGACAATTCTCAAAAGAAGATATACAAATGGCCAACAGATAAATGAAAAAATGCTCAACATCACCAATGATCAGGGAAATGCAAATCCAAACCACAGTGCAACACTACTTTACTCCTGCAAGAACGGCCATAAAAAAAAAAAAAAAGATGTTGGCATGGATGCGATGATCAGGGAACACTTCTACACTGCTAGTGGGAATGTAAACTAATACAGCTGCTATGGAAAACAGCATGGAGATTCCTTAAAGAACTAAAGGTAGAACTACCATTTGATCCAGCAATCCCACTACTGGGTATCTATCTACCCAAAGGAAAAGAAGTCATTATATGAAAAAGATACTTGCACACTCATGTTTATAGCAGCACAATTCATAAGTGCAAATCGTGAAACCAACTCAAATGCCCATCAATCAACAAGTGGATAAATAAACTGTGAGATATGTGTGTATATATATACACACACGATGGAATACTACTCAGCCATAAAAAGGAATTAATTAACAGCATTTGCAGCAACCTGGATGATACTGGAGACTATTATTCTAAGTGAAGCAACTCAGGAATGGAAAACCAAACATTGTATCTTCTCACTGATATGTGGGAGCTAAGCTGTGAAGACACAAAGACGTAAGAATGATACAATGGGCTGGGCGTGGTGGCTCACACCTGTAATCCCAGCACTTTGGGAGGCTGAGGCAGGCGGATCACGAGGTCAAGAGATCGAGGTCATCCTGGCCAACATGGTGAAACCACATCTCTACTAAAAATACAAAAATTAGTTAGGCATGGTGGCACGCGCCTGTAGTCCCAGCTACTCGGGAGGCTGAGGCAGGAGAATTGCTTGAACCCGGGGGGCAGAGGTTGCAGTGAGCCGAGATTGAGCCACTGCACTCCAACCTGGGCGGCTGAATGAGACTCCATCTCAAAAAAAAAAAAATGATACAATGGACTGTGAGGACTTGGGGGGAAGAGTGGGAGGGGGGCAAGGGATAGAAGACTACAAATGTGGTGCAGTGTATACTGCTCAGGTGATGGGTGCACCAAAATCTCACAAATCACCACTGAAGAACTTACTCATGTAACGAAATACCACCTGTACCCCAATAACTTATGGAAAAAAAAGTAGGTACACTCCTAATGGTGGTTGCCAGGGGCTAGGGGGGAGGGGGAAGGGGGAGTTATAGTTTAATGGGTATAGAGTTTCAGTTTTGCAAGATGAAAAAGTTCTGGAGATCTGTTGTACAACAGTGTGAATATACATAACACTACTGAACTGTATACTTAAAATGGTTAAGACGGTAAGATTTCTTATGTATTATTTTACCACAATTAAAAAATTTTAAATTAAAAATTTTTTCATAGTATATATTCTATTTTATATTCTGCTTTTCATCTCTACTTAAACCCTCTCTCTTTTTTTCCATAAGCCAAAATTTTTATTTGCTTATTTTTTTTGTATCTGAAGTACTCGTCAATGACATCCTTGGCCTGAGATTCTTTGCCATAGTCCTTAACTACTACACAATTGCAACCAATGACTTTATAGGGTTTTCCCTCTCTGAGGCCTATCTCTTCCCCTAGTTTCTTACGGTCATCAACCTTACTTAGGTAGATTTGGTGTTCAGCACAAAGGGCCACCACCAACATGACATACACAGGCTCATCACAGACCAAAGCTGGATGCAAACATGTAAAGGTGGGCTTGGAACTTGTCTAAGGCTTTGGCAGCTTTGCAAATTCCACATGTTAAGCCATCATGGATGAGGGCAGTCTTCAGCATGTTTTGTAAAACAGTGTTCATGTCCATAATGCCACAAGGCCAACTCTGGGAAAGGGTGGTAAATTTTCAGAAGACTCAGGCTATCTCAGTGAATGCTGTCTTTCCATGGGTCCCTATTACTCTTTTACTATAATGAAGGTCTATTCCAGTGGTTCTCGAAGTGTGCTCTCCAGACCAATTGTATCGGCATCACCTGGGTGTACTTCTTAGCACTGCAATCCTTAGTCCCTATCTCAGACCCCCTGAATCAGAAACTCTGGGAGTGGAACAATCAGTCTCCAGGTGATTTTGAGGCACACTAAAGCTTGAAAACCACTAGTCTATCCTGTTTAAACAGAAATCCGATCTCCCAAGTATGCAAAAATATGACAAATACATAAAATCAAAATTCAGTTATTCAGAGGAAGAGTAACTATTCATAGAGTAAATTTTGTGCCCCAATTGCACCGCTAGATATATTTTATAAAGAATGTAATACTAATTTTTAATATGCAGGGCAAAAAAAGCTAGGCAAGAGTAGTAGAGGGGCACAAATACCACAAAAGAAGAGATCATTCCCCAATAATTTCTCTTTTATGTACACTTGTACCTATATAACATATGTGTGTATGTATATATAGATATATAATTATATTTCACATTATATTTGTAATTGTATTTTGGTATTAGAATTACTTTCTTATTTAAGCCAGGCGTCAGCAAACTTTTGCCGTAAAGGGCAAGACAGTATTTTAGGCTTTGTAGGCCATAAGTCTCTGTCACAACTATTCAATTCTGCTGTTGCAGCACAAACGCAGCCATTGACAATATGTAAACAAATGAGAGTGGCTTTTATTTCAACAGTACTTTATAAAACTTGGTGGTGGGCTGGATTTGGCTGATTGGTCTTAGTTTGCTGACCTCTGACTTAAGCTGTCACTAAAACACATTTCAATTACTTAAGTTTTCTGAGTGACTGTGGGCAGTGTGTGCATAATCAGAAACTAAATGTTGCATAAACAATTCACAGTGGAGGCCGGGCATGGTTGCTCATGCCTGTAATCCCAGCACTTTGGGAGGCTGAGGTGGGTGGATCACTTGAGGTCAGGAGTTCGAGACCAGCCTGGACAACATGGTGAAACCCTGTCTCTACCAAAAAGTACAAAAATTAGCCAGGCATGATGGCACATGCCTGTAGTCCTAGCTACTCAGGAGGCTGAGGTGGGAGAATTGCTTGAACCCAGGAGGTGGAGTTGCAGTGAGCCAAGATCGTGCCACTCTACTCCAGCCTGGGTGACAGAGTCAGACACTGTCAAAACAAACAAACAAACAAACAAAAAACCCAAAAAACAAAAACAAAAAACAATTCATATTGGAGATCTTGCTTTATATGAAGAAAATTATGTAATGTGCAAAAATGTGTTGGTCAATAACAGGCTGCATATAAAATACACAACGGTGGTTCCACAAGATTATAATACTGGGGTTGAAAATTCCTATTGCCCAGTGATGTCATAGCTACCCTAACATTGTGGCACAACACATAACTCATGCATCTGTGGTGATGCTGGTGGAAACAAAGCAGCGCTGCCAGTCTTATAAAACTATAGCACATACAATTATGTAGAGCACATAATACTTGCTGATAAATGACTATGTTACTGGTTTATGTGTTTACTATACTATATTTTTTATCATAACAGCCTCAGGCAGGGCCTTTTGGAGGTATTCTAGAAGAAGATATCATTACCATAAGAGACGACAGCTCCATGCATGTTATTGCCCCTAAACACCTTCTGGTGGTACAAGATATAGAGGTGGAAGACGTTGATATTGACAATTCTGACCCTGTGAAAGCTTAGGCTAACGTATGTGTTTGAGTCCTAGTTTTAACGAAAAAGTTTTAAAGTTAAAACAGTTAAAAAAAACTGCAAATAGAGGAAATGCTTAAAGAATAAAGGTATAAGAAAAATATTTTTGTACAGTGTATAATATTTGTGTTTTAAGTGTTATTGCAGAAGAGCTAAAAAGTTTTAAAATTTAAATTTAATTTAAAGTTTATAAAGTAAAAAAGTTACAGTAAGCTAAGGTTAATTTATTATTGAAGAAAAAAATGCTTTCTATACACTTAGTATAGCCTAACGTACAGTGTTTATAAAGTCCACAGTAGTGGACAGTAATGTCCTCGGCCTTCAAATTCACTCACCACTCACTGACTTGCCTAGAGCAACTTCCAGTTCTACAACTCCATTTATGGTTAAGTGCCCTATATAGATGTACCATTTAAAAAATCTTTTATATCATATTTTTACCAAACTTTTCTATGTTTTGAGACACAAATATTTACCAGTGCATTATGAATGCCTACAGAGTAACTTGCTGTAAAGGTCTGTAGCCTAGGAGCAGCGGGCTATACCATATAGTTGAGGTGTGTAGTAGGCTATACCACCTAGGTTTGTGAGAGTATACTCTACAATGTTTGCAAAATGACACCTAATGACATTTCTCAGAATGTATCCCTGTCAATAAGCAGCATGTGACTAATATTGAAGTGATAAAATAATTTCAATAATTTCATTGCTTTAGTCTTTTAAACTACCCCCTCCTCCACTTTTATTTTTGTAATCTATCTCAGGTATGTTTATTCTAGTCTTAAATCTTTCTTGTTTTTACTTCCTTGGATATTTATAAATTAAACTAAATTTGGCCTAAAGGATGCCTCCATACTCGAGTCCTTATGTAACTAACTGGAACCTAATTTAGTAGGTAAAGTAACTGAAAGCCTAATATAAGGATATACTTATGTGACAACCAGCTGAGTCTCAGCCTATCACAGTAGCTGAGCTTCAGTCAATCACAGATGGCCAACTGATCATTCCATGTCCAAATGAGTCAAATGCTGAGCTGCAAACAATCAGGCTGTTTCTGTACCTCACTTCCATTTTCTGTCCATAAATGCTGCCTGCCCATATTGTGGAATGAAGCTCTCTGACCCCCTTCTGGTTTTGAGGGGTGCTTGATATGTGAATTATTCTTAGCTCAATTGAAGTATGCTAAATTTGACTAATTTTGTTTTTTAACAGTACATCAAAAAATCTATTTTCTCTAATTTGACTCGGGTATAGAGCATTTCTTTAAAAAACAAAAAGTTGTTTTAGAAATAACTCTAAATGAGAGGTATGAGGCACAAAATATTTCCTATTTTCCTGCTTCCTAAATATTCTCTACCCAGTCTCCCCTTTCCCTTCTCACCCCATAACAGAAAACAAACTAAAAGTCTAAATTTTAAAACATGAGTACAGGACCTGATTAAAACTGCTTCAAAGACTTCTACTGGGGAGAATAAAAGTTTATTGGTGCCTCCAATGCAAGCTACTCAATAACTGCTTAGTTGTGAACAATGACCTACTGCTTCAACTCAGTAGATGATGATTAGGGCTTCTTACAGCATTTGTTAAAAGAGATTTAACAAATCTCACTTTACTTCAATCTACTTCCTCCAATTCTGTGACCCTACTTAAGATTCCCACTCCCCCTCCAGTAGAGTTAATTAAAATACTATGACTGCCTCTTTTGGTTTATTGCCTGTCGTTATAGAGCACTTTTCTCTGACAGAAATGGCCACTTTCCCAAGCAAGATGACATTTAGAGCTTCTTTCTCTGCATCACAGTCTTAGAAACACATTTCTCCCCTTAATCTGGTTTTGCTTTTTCCTCTTCACTACATTTCTTCTGGCAAAGGTTGTCTGTGTGTGTTGCGGGGGAGGAGTGGGAGCAGGGTGGGGATAGAAAGGAGATAAAAGAAAATAAATTCTTAGTTGTAAAGACAGCAATGAGAAAGCTAAACTAGATTATGATCTTGACGATTCCTTACAGTTCTAACATTTTATGACTTAATTTAAATAGGAAAAAGAGGAAATAAAATGGCACTGAGAAGATAAATAAAATGTAAACTTGAAGAGTGAGAACAGAAGTCAGGATAAAGCTCAATTAACCAGAAGCAACTGGCACTTTCCTTCTGGGGAAGTGGCAGAGGGAGAAAAATAAAGAGAATTTCTCCACCTCCCAGCCCATTTCTGGACTATATTGGGGGGAAGAAGATGTTTAGAACAATTTCCTATATCATCTGCAGCTATCCAGAGAACATTCTGTAACTAAAACAGTCAAATAGTAGCTTTGACCAGATTTGTTCAAAATTGTCTAATCTTATAATGGGAGTACTGTTTGAAAATATATTATGGCTTTAAAAACTGTCAGGTTATTACTTAACACTTAGGAAAAGCTCAGATTAAATATATACAACTTAGAGTGATATGGTTTGGCTCTGTGTCCCCACCTGAATCTCATTTTGAATTGTAATCCTCACATCTCAAGGGAGGGACCTGGTGGGAGGTAACTGAATCATAGGGGTGGATTCCCCCATGCTGTTCTTGTAATAGTGAGTGAGTTCTCATGAGATCTGATGGTTTAAAAGTGTCTGACAGTTCCCCCTTGCTCGCCCACTCTCTCTCTCTTGCTGCCATGTAAAACATGCCTTGCTTCGCCTTTGCCTTCTGCTATGATTGTTTCCTGAGGCCTCCCCCAGCCATGTGGAACTGTAAGTCAATTAAACCTTTTTTCTTTATTAATTACCTAGTCTCAGGTAGTTCTTTATAGCAGTGTGAAAATGGACTAATACACACAGGTTTAAAAAACTCATAAAAAATGCTACTGAGATCTAAAATATTTTCCTTGAAACATCACCTTCCTTTTCATATTTTATATAAAAAGGCAAAACCTCTGGATAAATGACATTCCACTCAGAATGTTCCAACCCATAGCACGAGGTGTCAAAAGTAAAAGTTTTTCACTGTTGATATGTTCTATAATCATACATGAAAATTATACTGAGTTATCTTTATTTTCATTACTTCAGCATATAATTTGATAATCAAAGATAATCAAACACATGTCCATAAATATTAAATTGTTAAACATTCAAAATGGCTAACTTAATTTAACTAAAATTTTCAGTTAAAGTCCCCTTTTACCAGTTGTCAATCAGTTAAAACATACAATTTTATTATAACAAAGCCAATTATACCGAAAGCCTTAACATTCTTCGTTTGGGATCCAAAGAGCCATACCTAACTCAGGCAATAAACACCAAAAAAACCAAACCAAACCAAAACAAAACAAAGCAAAATCCTGCCTCTCCAATACTCCTGGATAATCTTGTAATAGATTGAGTGATCTGGCTGTGAAAGTCAGTTCAAGTTTACATCATTCCATACATAAGGTACCATAAACCATTTCTGATCACTAGGGATCCACATGAAGAACACTTCTCATTTTTACATTTGTGAAATTAAAAATCTTAAATGGGCAAAGAGGTTTTCAGTGAATGTACTGCTTTAATTATGATTTTATTTATTTTACACCTCTTTCTTCTGGGCTATTTCCTAGTAGACAAGAGGAAATGAGATAGCTATCATATAAGCCACATTAACTGGGAAAACTATGATAAAATTATCAGTTTCAGTTAATATCAAAATAGGGCAGCAAAAGACAATTATTGAAAAGCAAAAGTTTTATAGAGTTTAATGTACTGACCTCATAAATATCAGAATAATAAATGACATCTCTACTCCCTCCACAAATTATTAGAGAAGTTTGTCTTCAACTGCTAAAATTACACTTGGTGAATCTGTTCTATCACATTAGTGTTCAACACCACTGTTAATCTTTGTCCTTTTAAGTTATCATAGCAATGCATTTAGTAGCTGCACAATCTTCCCAATCTCAGCAGTACGTGTATAATATGAACACTAATCAAGATCATTCAGCAGGTCAGCAGATTAAGATTAGCATCAGTTTCCATCTCTTGGGCTCCAAAGCACAAATTTCTCTCCATTCACCTACAGATCTATCACATATGTTCTCAACATAGTCCCATATCCAAGTAAATACATTATGAAGTGTAATGTCTACTTTATCTAAATTAAATAGATAAAAATGACAGCTCTACCTTATTTGATAATTCATTCTTAATTTGCTTTTAAAAATTTAACTACTACTAAATGGAATAACTATATCTATAAATATACAAATAAAATAATGATACTTTACATCACTACATACTACTTTTATTTTCTGCACACGGTGCCAGTTTTGCTCCATTTTAAATACACAGGATAATTTAAAGAATTGCACTAAGAATAATTTAGCTTCTTTTAATCCTTTAAAAAAATTGAAGGGGCCCGGCGTGGTGGCTCACGCCTGTAATCCCAGCACTTTGGAAGGGTGAGGTGGGTGGATCATGAGGTCAGGAGATTGAGACCATCCTGGCTAACGTGGTGAAACCCCATCTCTACTAAAAACACAAAAAATTAGCTGGGTGTGGTGGCGGATGCCTGTAGTACCAACTACTCGGGAGGCTGAGGCAGGAGAATGGTGTGAACCCTGGAGGAGGAGCTTGCAGTGAGCTGAGATGGCACCACTGCACTCCAGCCTGGGTGACAGAGTGAGACTCTGTCTCAAAAACAAAACAAAACCAAAAACAATTGAAGGTAGTAAAGAAAGAGGTTTTCATAGAAAAACAAGCTACAGCACTTTTGTTTACATTGTAACCAGTTCAGTTATACTTATTCAATAACTCCCTTTATGTTTTTTCACCACATAATGGATAATATTCTTTAGTTGTTCTGTGATAAGAAAACATTTCCTTTCATACATTATCTCAATATTTCCTAGTTCAGAAACTCAACTATATTATCTTTCAGAAGGTTAGTAAGATACTAATCCCTTTTCCTGTTTTACTATCAAATCATCCTAAATTTTACTCTATTAGAAATGATACTAAAAAAGCTACAACAATGTATTCAATTACAGAACAAAGTATATAATTTTTTTTAAGGATGACTGCATTTGACCCTAGGTTAATAACTCAACCAACAATATTTTACATAAATATCTTTTATATAACATACATCACACTAAATTTGAAGATAAATTAATTTGAAATACTACCCATGTTTTTTACTGGTTTGTTTTACATAAAATAAACTAAATATATAAATTATATAAAAATAAACTACAACTTTATTTTGTATTGTTCTATATCCATTCATAATTTGTCCCACATTTTTTCTTTATAAAATGTCAATAAAAAGATTAAGCATACATGCACAAAGATCATAGCTAATGCCAGATGTTAAGATAGTCTCTTGAGGCTGAAGATTCCACACCAGGTGGTTGAGCCAGCCTAATGAAGCAGCACATGCTCATGTGGGATACAAAGGGTGGACTTGGAAGAACCTGCTTGCATTTGGTTATTTATGAAAGTATAAAGAAAGATTTGAAATCAAAGTGAAAATGAAATTAAATCAAAGCCTTCCCATTCACATAGCAGAGTTTTTCTAAAGTTTTAAAATTTGTTTTCAAAAATTAAGGCTGAAGGAAAAAACCTTTTATGTATGCTTTTAGTGACGAGATAACAAAACTATTTCCAACTCCACTACCAAGTGGTAAAATGAAAATAATAAACTTTAAGTGGATTAAAATACAAGCATAATTTCTTAAAACTTAGCGTGTTTCTTGTATTGAAAGACTTAAAAATGTGAGTTCAGGTTAGTGCTATTACAACACAACTTCAGTAAATGGACTGACCATAAAGCATGACCTTAGGCAGTAATAAACCTGAGAGCATTTTAATATATTTCCTTATCACCAAGTGAAGCACTTTAAGTTATTACAGCTAGGCTGCATGACCTCATGCAATTGAATCATGCTAGAGCCAAATAGACTAATGTCTTTGATAGCAATTAGATAAAGGCAGGATGTTAACTTTTACTTTAAGAAGTGTTAAACAAAGGGACTCATCTCCTGGCTTAACTTAGTTAGAAATAAGCTACTCATTTAACAGCAGAGTTTAATACGGGAATGGCCTCTTTCACCTGTCAAAAAGAAAATTAACTTTATTAAAAAAATTATCAGGGAATTTTATTTCTTTAATGGACCCTTTGCTAGAGTTTCTAAAGTTTCTAACAACATCTTTATATACTCTAATTTCTAAGCAGCTCTTCTTTAATGTCTAAAATTTCCAATATGGTCAGCAATGGTTGAGAAAAAACATCCTCTTGTCAGTCAGTCACAAAGAATTTCTTGTCTGAGCTGAACATGGATGGCAGGTCACAACAGAGAAATTAAATGATAAAACAGTACAATAAAATAATGTGATACAGGTATTAATATCATATTTCATCAAATCTAAGATGCTATTAATTGTAATACACAATTCTTTTACATAACAGTAAGAAAAACAAAGCTGTCAATTAAATTGTGGCACAATACTTTCCTATTATTTAGAATTTTTTATACTTATTAAAAGAGTTCCTTCAGACATAACAGATTTTTAAAAATTACATATCACCCTTGCACATATATAAAAAGACAAGATGAGAGAAACATATTTTCTAGGATAGTTGTAAACCTTCACTTTTGGAAGATCACTCTTGTGACTGCCACTTAAGGTTGTCAGTGTCCACGTTTTTGTGCACAATAATCTCTTTGCCATCAAGAATATTTGTGTGGCAGTCTTTCTTAACAGAGTGTTCCATTATTGTCTCTTGGGTTTTCTTCCAAGTTACTGAAACCCATTCAGCCAGTTTTTTTTTTTTTTTTTTTTTTTTTCTTGAGATGGAGTCTCTTGTCTCCTAGGCTGGAGTGCAATGGCGTGGTCTCAGCTCACTGCCATCTCCACCTCCCGGGTTCAAGCAATTCTCCCACCTCAGCCTCCTGAGTAGCTGGGATTACAGGGACCCACCACCATGTCCGGCTAATTTTTGTATTTTTAGTAGAGATGGGGTTTCACCATGTTGGCCAGGCTGGTCTTGAACTCCTGACCTCAGGTGATCCGCCCACCTCAGCCTCCCAAAGTGCTGGGATGACAGGTATGAGCCACTGCCTGGCCAGTTTTTTATTCAGGCACTTTTTTGACTTCATCAGAAGGTGCCAGTGAAGGTTTTCGGATCACAACTCAGGGATAATATTCCTTCCTCAAGTGATCTTTAAATGTTTTCCTGATAGCCAGTTGAGGACTTAGTTGACCTTTCATGTGGCCAGGAATAACAACCAAGTTCATCAAATAGACAATAACATCAAGAGTCACAGCTGCTATCCGGCGAACAGTGATTTTAAGATGACGTTAATTGTAAGATGCATCTTGATTTCAGAGATGTTAAAACACGTGAAAAATAAAAAGTGTGTCATGGTATCAAAGAAGTATAGTTTGCTATTTTTCAGAGATCCAGAAATATTCTGATCGGAAATCATGGCACTTCCAAATTATAAATTGAATATTTAAATCAGTTACTGGTTAAAAAAGAATGTGATTCAATATAGGTACATGACTACATATTCATTCTTGTAGTATGTGGTAAATCATGTTTGTAATTGGTTAGCTCTACTGCTTAAAGCAGTTGTTTCCAAGTGCTTATCTGTGCAACAGTATTGAATGAAAATAAGAATCAGCTGAGAAACTTTAAGAACATACACAGGTTCTTGGGCTGACTCCTCAAAATTAGGAAAAATATAAGGTGTTTGCAATCGAGATATTTTAAAAACAACTCTCAAGTGATTCTGATGTTTGCCAGGTTTGGGAAACATGTAACTGGTATAGTTACATGCTGCGGTGGAAGATCCAGATCCAGTTGCTGTGTGGGCTACACTAGTTGGTTGTAACACAGTAAAAAGAGCTCTGAGTATAATGCTAGGAAAATAATTTTCCAGTGCAATCTCTACTATTTATTAGCTGTAGGACCTTGAGGAAGTCACTTAACTTGTCCAGTTTCTTTATTTATAAAATAAGAATAATACATAATTCACAGGGTTGTTGTGGAGCTAAAATTAGGTAACCTAAGTTTTGGTTCTAGCACTGGTAAAGGCATTTAATATAAACTTAAAAAATGTTCTCCCACCTCCCCCACCACCTATATGTTTACTCCAAGCTTGTTCATACTGACAGATTTGAAAAATGTAAGCAATTTCCTCAAGGCATTCCCCAATTCTCTCAGCTGCAAGTAATCTCTCCCTTCTCACAAGCAGTCTACCAGCATTTCTTTACTGGAGCTTATTTCTACTTTGTTTTATACATGTTTATGCACATGACATATTCCTCCCCCTCCCCCTCAATAGGCTGCAAACTTTTTTAGAACAAGAAGCTTGCCTAATTTATCTTCACAGCCCTAGCATTTAACATGGTGCCTGGAAGAGATAGGGGATTTTGCCAACAGAAGGATGTGAATGAAATAGCAAGGCAGTGATCCAGTTTCCATAATGACCTCTCCCTTTGAACAACCATTAACTGTAAGAGGTCAATGCTGCTCAGTCAACACTAGAAGTCAGGTAAGGGACATTAGAATGTGATTTATCAATTAGTCATTAGATCAACTAACACTTGTAGACTGGGAGAGGAATGAACATTTAAAAGAGTAATACAATATATTTGCATTTTCTTAGTCTGAAAATATCTGTAATGGTTCTAAAAAAGGGATGAGGATGTGGTAGAGTATTGCTAAATACTTAGAGAAATGATAATCTGTATGGCTGTTAAATAGTCAAGCAAGCACTTTTGAATGAACGTTATGATTTTTTCTTTCATATTTACAGGTAAGCCTTTAAAAATCATGCCGAACTAAATTATTTTAAATACTATATGAATCTTTTATACGCATATGACTTCACATCAAGCCAGGTAGAAAATTCTTTTTAATTAAAGTTAGAAAATTTTCTGTAATTTTTATTGTTTTAGAGGAAAATGTCTAAACGAAAACTGGAAGTCAGTGAAAATCACAGTTATCTAATTTATTGAAGTCAACCTGTATTGGAAAATAATATACTCATGTAAAGTTATTACACAACTAAAAATAATTCACATATCTTTCTAAATGTAACTTTGAGATAGCAGATTCACCAATGTTAAAAAAGTAGTAAGACAGTCAGTGTCATATGTAGGAAAAAATAAAAACCACAAAACTTCGAGCTCAAATACTGATAAACTAAGTGGGAGAGAGATTCCTGAATGTCAAGTGCAATCTAGCCACATGGGTTTTAATTCACAGGAAAAGACTTAATCAGAGGCAGAACCGTGGTGTTATACATTGCCTTGGTGCTAGTGAGATAATAGATGCTATGAATTATCTTAATATATTCATTTTATATCCTTTGTGTTAGATTTTAAAAGATATATTAAAGTAAGCTTGGTTTTGTGTATATAATAAAATATTTGCTTTTAGCACCATGGTTTCCAAGGGATTCCAATGTTTATCTTATTTTAGAAATAAAAATATTTTAATATTAAAACAATGGAATAATTTCAGTGATTCACCAAAAATACAACATACAATTAACTTCAGGTAATTATGACACATCCAAGTGGACTTTTTAGTAAACAAGATACATAAAACAGCCTACAATCTTCATTCTTAGGTTACCAGGAGAAAATAATTAGAATCTTTCTGGAATCATAATGATAAAGGAAGAATAATGTAAACTGCTAATGAGTAAATATTGAGGAACCATAATGAAAAATGACAAAACTAGTTGGAAAATGGGCTCTATAGATTTAGGACCAGGTTAGATTTGTTAAACATTTTGTTAAATATTTAGCTTTCATATAATAGACAAACAAAAACTAGCATGTAGAGAATCTGCATCTTATATTTTATGTTCTAGCAAACATATTTTCCTGCTATAACTGGAAAAGCTAAAACTAGAACCATTTCATTTTACTGAAGAATTACAGTAAGTATTCAGTTGAGTTATAGATGAGCTTTCTCACCATTTTTAGGTTTAAAGTTCACCACAATTAGGTCTCTCTTTATGTATACTCTTATTTATAATTAGTAACTTCTAGGAAATATCATTTCCAAAAATTGTTTGAGTCATAAACTACTTTGGAATCATGCATTGAATATTTGATTTACAAATTTCTACCTTTCAAAAGCACAAAAATATACTGCTGCCAGAGAACTGCATGCAAATATTAGAATGTATACATATATTTAAAACTAGTATGCCTAACTTAATCATAATTTTCTTACAAGACAGGTTATTTTTGCACTTTACAGACCAGCAAATCCTCACAATGGTAATATGGGGATTTCACTCCATGTTTTGAACATCCTATATGCCAACGGTTTACTTATTTTCATTTAAAAATGATAGTGAAATTCCCTTAATAACCCATAACATCTTTCTTGTTTGTACTCATTTATTCTTTCTGCCCACATGGGCTTCACTTCTAAGTCCATTCAAAATGATGTTTTCCAAGCATGTGCCACATGACTTGTTCATATAAATGGAGCAAATTAAACTGTCTCCACATATATCCTATCACATTTGTAGCCCTGATTTCTCTCTTTAACACGTGGCCAAGACACCGTATTATCTGCCTGCAGAGGTTGACCTCAGGATATTAGATTCTGCCACATAGCTCTCTTGTACTAAACCGAGGGGAAACACTTAATCACCCCTGCCTTTTCAGGAAAAAATCAACTTTAAATTTGCCATGATGAAAAATCAATAAACCAGTAATTGCTTGGCTTATCACTGCATGGAGGAACAAATTGGGAAGCGAAGCTTAGCGTCCGCACAGATTTCAGTGAGACACATGGAGTTTCAGGATCACTAAGCTAGAAAAGGAAAAGGTCTCAGAGTGATAATTAAATCTACTCATGCTGCTTTTCTGCCAAATTTATTTCCCAAGAGTATATAAAAATGTTTCACTGCTTACTAGTCAGGCGTAACTAATCAAATCAACATTATACCAATATATAAAAGAAACAAAAAAATGCAAATTCAAGACTGTAGGCACCAGAATAATATATTCTTGAGAATAAAATTAATATAAACTTACTTTTTAAATGAACAAACTTAAATTTGTCTTTTTAAAGATTACATTTATTTCCTTGCTCTATAAATACCTATAAACATTTTTATTTAATCAATGAATACAACACTGTAATCTGTAACCCCTTTAAATTGTGAAAGTTTTCAAGTAAGCATCAATATTTAAAGACAAATCTCAGACTGTCACACATTAAATATTTTTCATTCCCAGAATGATCTTTTCAGCTCATTTCACATGGGTTCTCTATTCTTTGCTAATGCAAATACATGTTATCACATCTAAATTAGTCCATTATTCCCATATATTTTTACCATATTCAATGGGAATTACCAGATCTGTTGTTTAAATAAAGTATCTGCTTTATACTTAAACACCGAAGATCTACTGTCTATGAAATAAGATGAGAAATACAAATCATCCTTGCAACAAGGCAAACACACCAACTGAAAATATTACTGAGAATGTTTAGTGTTTAAAAAATTACTACCACTAATAGACCTAATTTAATGCAGTAAATTAGCATAGGTCCAATGGAAGTGCAAATGTAATCACAGTCAAACATTCATATTAAGAGGAAGAAGGAGGATGAGCTTTTTCTTTTTCTTTTGTTGAAAATGATTTTATGTGTGTCCTTCAAATGGCTACTGGGAGTATGATAATTAAAACATTTAAAATAGCACAAGCCCCCCAGTCTCTAATCTGAAGCTCAGGTCAGCTGTCTGTAGATTCTAATTTGTCCTCCATTTGTATTCATGACAAGAAAATACTGAATATTTAACAGCAAACCAGCAGGAGGGGGTATTGTGGGCTTAGAGGTTAAATAATTTGATTTCTGTGCAGATTACATGTAACATCCAACATCTAATCTCATATCTGATTTGGCAATACAATTACAATAAAAATAATGTAGGGACACCATAACTATAAAGTAGAGAAATAAAAACATTTTTTCATGGGTTGGGAAATAATAACTTTAAGTATTAGATTGTTTACTATACTTCTAAGGCCTACCTTTTCAATAACAAAGGTAAAAATAACTTACAGAGTATGATAGTTGAGGATGACGTGATTTCTATTTTCTTTTATGGCACTGGAGGTTCCATCTATTTTATCTCACTAAAGAGCAGTGAGATTACAAATAAAACAAAGGGATGGAGGGGACTTTAAGAAGTCTTCTTGTCCATTCTCCTGCCTTTAGGCAGGACTACAATGAAACAGAAGCTTTGTTTTGATCTAAGATAAACTTCCATCTGTTGAAAAATCCAAGGGCTGTTTTAGGGGAACTGATTGCTTCTTAAAGTGAAGTAATAATAATTAAAGTGAAAACTAAAAGTTGAAGAATATTTGCTGGATTAAGATTTATGTTACGCAGGCAAAAGAGATTACTGAACATAATCATATTAAAATATGCATAAATGCAAATACATTTTGATTTTATAATTTTCAATTTGGTATTAATTTATTTTTTGGATAAGACCCTCAGCAATGCTATTAATTTATCTGTTTTTTCTTCTGCTGAGTGGTAGCTTTCTCTTTGTAAATGTGAATTTTATCAAACTAATTTGTTAATTCACTATTAAAAAGAATTTAATAATTTCAATAAAACTATTTTTATTGAGGGAAAAACAAAGACAAGTACATTCAAACAATAAATCAGTTTAATGACTTTATTAAACTGCCTTTCTAGATTAAAAGAATCAAATTCTGCATTTTCAAAATGAACTCTTTACTCTGAGTTTTTAGGATTCCTTACGGAATCATAATCTTTCATTTTCTAATTATTACACAAATCACTCTGTGCTAGGTGCTGGGCAAACCAAAGTCTACATACAGAAATGGTTTCTGCTCTTTAGCAGCTCACATTCTAGTAGAGCCCACATTATTATCATTTAAATGACAAAAAGCAGAGGAGTTCATCCAAATAGAAAATGGAATAAGAGTATAGAAAGAAAAGCAGTACACTGTAAGTATCTTCAAGAAGCTTTCAACATTTGTTTGTATACAAATTCACATTTAAAATAACCTCAATTAGGTTTTTAAATTACTTTCTTTTGCTTGATTCCTGTCCTCTTTCAGTTTGTGACACAGCCAGTCTGTGAGCTGCTGTGCTCTACCTCTTTCAGGAACTAGTAACTTAATTCAGCTGATATGATTAAAAAATAAAATTTCAATGCTGTTGACCAAACTGAATTCCAAAAAGTTTCAATGCTGTTGACCAAACTGAATTCCAAACTCACAGTAATTTCCCAGTTATGTGATATAGTTTCTGTTCTCTTGTGTGATTTGTGTAAATAACCAATTTGTGACTCAATTTCCCAATTTTTCAGATAAGAGAACACTAAAAAAATCACAAAGTTTATTCAGTGATTGCCTATGATCTGTGGTTAGGGTTTAGCTATGCGAACAGAACAGTACAGGGTAACCTGGATGCACAGAGCAGGATCACTGACTCTAGCTTGATGGGGATTAGGAAGTGATGGGCACCAATAATAAGGCTTTATTTAATACGTAACATGACTTAGGTGTAAGTTGAATAAAGAACAATCTATGCCAATTAAGGAAATTGGTTTCTGGGGCTGAGTCACATGACAATATAAACGACACTACTTCCTAGCGGCCCACAAATCAGCCCACCAGAATAAAGCTCAAGCCCCTCCTTCCTCACATAGCAAGGTGGTTTTCTGCTTCTTCTGCAGGTCATTTCTGAAAGCTCAGGCTTGTCCTTCCTTTCATGTTCTTGTTTGAAAATCTTAATTCTGTTGAATTAGATTCAGATGAGCAGTATCAAGAGTCACTATTCCCTTTCCCCAGAGAAATTCATGTGGTTCTTACGTGAATATACCTGTGATTGCATATTCACATAAGAATAGTGAATATTCTGGATAGTACTTTATGATAATGAATTAAACAATACATTTAAAGACATGCCAGTGATGCTCTGTAATCAGTCACAAATATAAATATAACCTAAGAGAGTTTAGAAAAATGCACAAAGTTTTTGTTTATTTTGCAGGGGAAGAGAAATTATGGTAGTATTCTTCATGTGTGATAGTCACTTTCAAGGTAAAATAAATTATAGACAAGTTCATATAACATGCACAACTGAATATGGTTTCAGTACACTGCAGGTATGTCCAAATGTCAGTTACTGATATGCGGGCCATGATGTTTATAATTTACCTAATTTCCATCTAAGAGACTATAATATAAAAATTAGAAAAAACCAAATTTCGCATTCAGAGCACTTTCTAACCAAAAGTAAAAAGTTTTCCTTCAAATACGGCTTTTCAATATATGAAAGATCTGTGAAATGTCTTTTTGACTTTAAATAAATTATAGATTAATTAAATGATTAAAGACTAAATAACTGAAAAAAGAATAAAACTTTAAAAACATACACTTAGTTGAGCTTCTGAACTTTAGGGCTTCTTATTCTTTTTAAAAAAATCCAAAATAATTTGTATTAATTTGATATATCACTATTCTTCCATAATAATTGCTTCTAAAACTTCTAAAATAGCACAGATTTCTTTAAACTACAGCTAGAATTTTACTATATCCAAATATACTAACAGATGGAAAACTTTAATTTTTAAGGGGAATAAAACCTCATTTCCTATTTGTATGACCTTGATTCCTTTCATCCCCATGTAGTTTTCTATGCTGTGGGAAGTCTGCCTGGTTCCAAAGGTGAACCCTCCAACAAATGCATGTGAAAGACAGACTTGAGGGTGTGCTAAATGGTTACTCTTGACTTTTGCTAAGGAAAACATTTTCTCAATAAAAATACTGAAAGCTTGAGAGCAAAATCTGTACTTTTTAAAATAAAGAGAAAATGAAGTGTAATCAAGATTTCTGGAATAGTATTTGATATCTATTGCCTCAAAATCTGTTAGTAATTAGGCCAATGTTAAGGGTATGATGGATCAGTTAAATTAGCCATTTAATACCTACAGGCAATATCACAAACATGACTGCTCAAACAAATCTGTGCTATTTATTACAAAAATGCCTTGTTAGTTTAGTGTAGTGACATCATTAGTGGAAAAATATTATCATCAAATATTGAAAGTAACTATTCCGAGTAAGGTCAGTATTTCTGTAGGCATTTGGAGTCATATCTGGTGAACAAGGAGGGGTATCAAGCTTGGTTAAATGGTTTTTAGTAAAGTAAAACCAAAACCAAAATTGGGTGGTGCTATAGTTTATTGGATGTCTTGAAAACTGACTCCACTGAAAGAGACAACAATAACTTGGATATGTTAAACCAAACTCATTTGGAAAAAATATACTATCTCACGTTATTAGCTACAAAATGAATGGAATAGGGCAGTGGTTCGCAAATTCCAATCTATGGGTTGGTGTTGGCAGGCTGAATAACAATCATTGGGCTTATCCTGATTCTTTTGTTCTGGGAATCCATATATCCATATATTATTTTGTATTATTTTATTAATTTATATTTTATATTATATTTAATTATTTTAAAAACATTTTAAAAATAATACTATATTTAAAAGCATAATCAAGATATTAAAAGCATACTCAAGATATCAGAATCCTCAAAGATATTCTGATCACTGTGTCCACAAGGCAGTAACATATTTTATTTATTTGGTATGCTCTCATTATTCCAATTGATTTAAAAAATCTATCATCACTGGTAAATTCCAAAAATACACATACAAAAATTAATCCACAACAATAAAATGCCATATGATGTTGACATCTTCCCTACATCTCTATTTTATTTTTGTCAGTAAGGTTTTTTTTTTTTTTTTTGCTTTTTCTCCTTGTATCTTTAGTTAATAACCTTCTATATATTAATGAATACAATAGTACTCTCAACTCTTTTCCCTAGATATATTTCTTTTAGTAAACACCTGACTGATAAACTATTACTGAGGACTTCAAATATATTGAAAAGAAAATATAGAATTTCTGGGATGAAACTGACCAGACTTCTGATTCACAATCATTTCTACTAACTAGGTTTTCCTGGCCTCTTTAGAAAATGTTCCAAGTTTGACCTTATTAGTTTAAGTTACTGCTGAAAAAGAAATAATTGGAGTGAAGGGAGGGGGAGGTTATAAAAGTGATATCCTATTGTGGATAGACAAGGCTGGTGTTACAAATAAACAATAACTCATGACATGGCTCTACACTGATACTAAAGATGGATGTTGAAACAAAACTATAACTTAATTTGGGGGGAGAGGAATAATAGTCAGAATTCCATTTTTGCTTGATGTTTATTTAAGACAGTCTCAATTCATTATGTCTGAGAGTTTAATTTATCTAGTTTTAGTATAATAAATTAGGCTTGTTTTACTCTCTACTATCTCTACAAATAAATCACCATTATTTTAAATGTTTATAGATGTAGGTTAGATAAAGACAAAACCCACATGATCATCTCAACAAGACATAGAAAAAAATATTTCAAAAAGTCCAACATCCTTTAAGAATTAAAAAACAAACAAAAAGAAAAAAAAACCCCAAAACCTAGGTCTAACAGTGTAAAATGATTGTGATAGTCTAGTGAAAATACTAACTTAAAAAATATCAAAGTGGTAGGAGTGATAAGATCCTATATAATCCAAATTCACTAATGCTGGTTTGCAAGATATTATAATATTTGCATTTTATTTTTTATTATTTTTAATATTTAGAGATGGGGGTTTCACTCTGTCGTCTAGGCTGAAGTACAGTGCTGAGATCATAGCTCTATTATTTTGAAGAATTATCAAGCAGATACAACATCAAACAATTTGAATTTTAAGAATATAGATGTGCAAGAATGCAACTTGTTAAAAAAAAGAAAACAGGAAAGTATTAACTTTGAAAGGTGTTCATATTCTTACTTCGACTTTGCTCAAAGGTTATATTATCATAGGGCTTTCATATATATATATATATATATATATATATAAATCCCTCCCGCAACCTATCCCATCACCATGCTCCACGGTTCTCCTTGTGACCTGTCATCATTTCATACATTACAGGCATGCTTTGGAGATATTCTTGGTTTGGTTCCAGAACATCACACTAAAGCAAGTACTGCAATAGACCCAGTAACATTTACTCTTCCCTAGTGCATATAAAAGTTATGTTTACACTACACTATAGTCTATTAAGTGTGCAATAGTGTTACATCTAAAAAACACTGTACATGCCTTAATTTAAAACATACTTTATTGCTAAAAATGCAAATGATCATCTGAGCCTTTAACAAGTCATAATCTTTTTGCTGGTGGAGGGTCTTGCCTCAGTGGTGATGGCTGCTCACTGATCAAGGTGGTGGTCACTGAAGGCTAGTGTGGCTATGGCCATTTTAAATAAGACAACAATGAAGCTTGCTGCATCAACTGATTTTTCTGTCATGAAAGAGTTCTCTATAGCATGTGATGCTGTTGGATAGCATTTTATTTATTGTAGAACTTCTGCTTTCAAAAATTGGAGTCAATCTTAAACCCTGCCACTGCTTTATCAACTAAGTTTATGTAATGCTCCACAGCCTTTGTTGTAATTTCCAGTGTTCACACTGTCTTCACCAGGAGTAGATTCCATCTCAAGGAACCACTTTCTTTGCTCATCCATAAGAAGCAACTACTCATTTGTTCATGTTTAATCATGAAACTGCAGTCACTCAGTCACATCTTCAGGTTCCTCTTCTAGTTTTTCTCCTATTTCCAACACAAAGGCTGTTACTTCCTCCACTGAAGTCTTGAGCCCCTCGAAGTTATCCATGAGGGTTGGAGGCAACTTCTTCCAAATTCCTGTTAATATTGCTATTCTGATCTCCTATAAATCACAAATGTTCTTAATGGCGTCTAAAACAATGAATCCTTTCCAGAAGGTTTTCAATTTACTTTGGCCAGATCCATCAGAGGAATCACCGCTTATGGCAGCTCTAGCCCCACAAAATATATTTCTTAAATATTAAGACTTGAAAAGTTGAAATTAGTTCTTTTATCCAGGGGCTGGAGAACAAATGCTGGGTTAGCAGGCATTATTCTCCTTGTACATGTCAATGTGCATTAATATTTTGAAAGAAGTCTTTTTTTCTGAGCAGTATGCCTCAACAGTGGGCTTTAAATATTCTGTAAACCATGCTATAAACAGATGTGTTGTCATCCAGGCTTTGTTGTTCCATTTATAGAGGACAGGCACAGGTGGTTTAGCATAATTCACAAGGACCCTAGGATTTTTGGAATGGGAAATGAGCACTGGCTTCAAACTTAAAGTCACCAGCTGCATTAGCCCCTGACAAGAGTCAGCCTGTTCTTCGAAGCTTTGACATCAGACACTGACTTCACCTCTCTACCTATGACAATCCTAGATGGCATTTTCTTCCTATAGAAGGCTGTTTGCTCCGCATTGAAAATCTGTTGTTTAGCATAGCTGCCTTCATCAGTGATCTTAGCTAGATCTTTTACATAACTTGCTGCTTCATCTTGCACTTTTACGTTACGAAGACTACTACTTTCCTTAAACCTCACAAATCAAGCTCTGCTAGCTTCAAATTTTTCTTCAGCAGCTTCCTCACCTCTCTCAGCTTCATAGAATTGAAGGGAGTTAGGACCTTCCTCTGGATTTGGCTTTGACGTAAGGGAATGTTGTAGCTGGTTTGATCTTCTATCTAGATCTTCTATCCACTCCAACTTTCTCCCTGTCAGCAATAAGGCTGTTTTGTTTTCTTATCATTCATATGTTCACTGGAGTAGCCCTTTACTTTCAATCAAGAACTTTTCCTTTGCATTCACAACTTGTCTAAATGTTTGGCACAAGATGCCTAGCTTTCATCCTCTCTGGACTTTTGACATGCCTTCCTCACTAAGCTTAGTCACTTCTGGCTTTTGATGTAAGTGAGGGACATGCAACTCTTCCTTTCACTTGAACACTTAGAGGCCACTGTAAGGTTATTAATTGGCCTAATTTCAACATTGTGTTTCAGAGAATAGGGAGCCTCCAGGCCAGGGAGAGAGAGAGAGAGAGAGAGAGGAATAGCCAGTCAGTGGAGCAGTCAGAACACACACAACGCTTACCTATTTATTAAGTTCATTGTCTTATATGGTTGCAGTTCATCATGCCCCAAATCAACTACTACAGTAACATCCAAGACCACTGATCAGTCATCACAATGACAGATATAATGAGCATGTTTAAAATATTGTGAGAATTACCAAAATGTGACAAAGAGATATGAAATGAGCATATACTTTTGGGGAAAATGGCACCAACAGACTTGTTCAATGCAGGGTTGCTACAAACCTTCAATCTGTAAAAAAACATTGTCAAAGTGCAATCATTATTGCCAAGTGCAATAAAACAAGGTATGTCTGTATGCATTTACTTGTTTGTTTATTCATTATCTGTCTCTTTCCACTAGAATGTGCACTCCATGTTTTGTTTCCTACTGTGGCCCAGGATGACAACAATGCCTGGCATATAGGAGGTGGCTCAATAAATACTTGTTGAAGAAAATGAATGATTAACAATTGTACTGGGCATGGTGGCTCATGCCTGTAATCCCAGCACTTTGGGAGTTCGAGGTGGGAGGATTGCTTGAGCCCAAAAGTTCAAGACCAGCCTGGGCAACATAGTGAGACCTCATGTCTACAAAAAAATAAAAAATAAAAAAAATTAGCCAGGTGTGATGATGCTCGCCTGTCGTCCCAGCTACTCTAGAGGCTGAAGCAGGAGGATGTCTTGAGCCTGGGAGGTTGAGGCTGCAATGAGCCGAGATCATACCACCATATTTCAGCTGGGCAACTAAGCAAGACCCTATCTCAACCACCCCCGTCTCCCCTCCAAAACAACGACTGTGATAAGTGCTATGAAAGGACAGCATAAGGTACTAGAATAGAGCATCACAGGGAGATTTGGTCAAACTATGACATAAGAATTCAGTTCCTCTGTAGGTACAGTATTTAAGGTGAGACCTGAAGGATTGGTAGGTATCAGCTAGGCAAAGGAGAAGGGCTAGAATTAGAAGTGGAGCCTGAAGATATGACTGAATGGCTACAATTTCCTGAAACTAGAATGAATGCTTCCTACAGATGAGCAGAGAAAGTGGCTGAAAGGATTGACTCCAACTTTTGAAAGAAGAAGTTCTACGATAAATAAAATGCTATCCAACAGCATCATGTGCTGTAGAGAAGTCTTTCATGATAGGAAGAGTCAATCAATGCAGCAAACTTCATTGTTGTCTTATTTAAAATGGCCACAGCCACTCTAGCCTTCAGCAACCACCACCTTGATCAGTGAGCACCCATCAACACTGAGGAAAGACCTTCCACCAACAAAAATACTGCAACTTGCTGAAGGCTCAGATGATCGTTTGCATTTTTTAGCAATGAAGTATGTATTCAACTAAGGTATGTACATTGGTTTTTAGACATAATGCTATTGCACACTTTTAATAGATTATGGTATAGTGTAAACATAACTTTTACGGGAAACAAAAAAATTAGTGTGACTGGCCTTATTGAGATATTTGCTTTATCGGAATGGTCTGGAATCAAACCCAGTGTCTCCAAAGTATCTGTATTTTAAATCATCATGAAGCCAGATTTGGCTTCATTATCAAATTCACATTAACATGAATTCCATTAGTGGTTAGTGATTTGTGTTGAAAAATAGTGCTACAAGGGAAGGTACTTCTGACCTAGCTTAATAAACTCCAACCAAAGCTGTGAAGAAATATATCACCTACACATACAACATATCATACAAAACCTGTAAATTTACATTAACTATAGACTTAATAGATAATAATATCCTAAGTAAGAATACTTAATGTCCTCTAGAAGCTCACGGTCACTTGTAAGGAAATGATCTATAATCAGTTAAGAAGTATTTATTGAGTTCACATAGAATGCCAATTTAAAGAAATCTAGTTGCTTCTAATTTTGAATTGCTTAACTTCATTTTATATTACTATATTTATTGACATTAAAAACTTGCCTAAAACAACTCCAGTGGCATGTGAAGTAATTTACTATCTTCAGTTTAAATATAATCATAGGTGAAAAAAGGACATTTCTCATCCTTTTTTTTTAAATTATACTTTAAGTTCTAGGGTACATGTGCACAACGTACAGGTTTGTTACATATGTATACATGTGCCATGTTGGTGTGCTGCACCCATTAACTCGTCATTTACATTAGGTATATCTCCTAATGCTATCCCTCCCCCCTGCCCTCACCCCACAACAGGCCCCGGTGTGTGATGTTCCCCTTCCTGTGTCCAAGTGTTCTCATTGTTCAATTCCCACCTATGAGTAAGAACATGCAGTGTTTGGTTTTTTGTCCTTGCGATAGTTTGCTGAGAATGATGGTTTCCAGCTTCATCCATGTCCCTACAAAGGACATGAACTCATCATTTTTTATGGCTGCATAGTATTCCATGGTGTATATGTGCCACATTTTCTTTATCCAGTCTATCATTGTTGGACATTTGGGTTGGTTCCAAGTCTTTGCTATTGTGAGTAGTGCCGCGATAAACATACGTGTGCATGTGTCTTTATAGCAGCATGATTTATATGCTTTGGGTATATACCCAGTAATGGGATAGCTGGGTCATATGGTATTTCTAGTTCTAGATCCACGAGGAATCGCCACACTGTCTTTCACAATGGTTGAACTAGTTTACAGTCCCACCGACAGTGTAAAAGTGTTCCCATTTCTCCACATCCTCTCCAGCACCTGTTGTTTCCTGACTTTTTAATGATCGCCATTCTAACTGGTGTGAGATGATATCTCATTGTGGTTTTGATTTGCATTTCTCTGATGGCCAGTGATGCATGGGCAAGGACTTCATGTCTAAAACACCAAAAGCAATGGTAACAAAAACCAAAATTGACAAATGGGATCTAATTAAACTAAAGAGCTTCTGCACAGCAAAAGAAACTACCATCAGAGTGAACAGGCAACCTACAGAATGGGAGAAAATTTTTGCAATCTACTCATCTGACAAAGGACTAATACCCAGAATCTACAAAGAACTCAAACAAATTTACAAGAAAAAAACCAAACAACCCCATCAAAAAGTGGGCAAAGGATATGAACAGACACTTCTCAAAAGAAGACATTTATGCAGTCATCCTTTTATATTTACAGTATGAGAGTGATTTGGGTAAGGAAAAAACATAGTAGAAAACTACTTCAGAGCAGTGTTTTTCCAACTGAGCATTATGACTCATTAGTGGGTTGCTTTTGTTTTGTTTTGTTGAAGATGCAATAGGATCAGAAAAAAATTTGGAAATGGACAAGTATTATTTTGTATTTTTTTCAGGTTTGTATACATATGCATATGTGTACTCGACTGCAAAGTACAATATACCTCTTGTATGTTTTGTATTTAAAAAACATGATGCTTTAGAAGTTGAAAGTCTGTGAGAATATTTTCTTTTTTCTAACAAAACACAATTTCAAGTTATTTTACAGACAGAAGATATTATTTTCAATTCCCAAAGTAGGTGTTGTTCAGTAGCACTTCTGACCTGCAAAGTTCTCAAAAATGATAATGAATAAAAAACAACCTTATCTTGGAATTATAAAACAACTTGGATTTAAAAACCAACTTGATATATGGTAGGTAGGAACAAGGGCTGGGTATAATTAAATATAATAAAAATGACTAAGGTACCTAGAATGTTGCTGTTACATAAAGTTTTTATTTTTTAGTGATCTATATTTTAGTGCTTTTTAAATAATTGTTTGCAGAGTGACTTATTCTCTGTTTACATAAAGTATTTTTTGTCGTTTCACAAAAAACAACCATAATGTGGTATTTTCCTAAAATGTCTTAGTGTACTTAGGACTTTGGTGTTTACTCTGCCAGCATCAGAAGCACTACAGCTGGGCTTAATCCAAATCACAAGCAATAATGTCTACGTTGGTTGGATAGGATTCAATAAGATGACTAAATTCTTTCCTTTCCTCTCATTCCAACAATTTCTTACCATTCCCAATAAGTCTGCAGAAGTCGTTTATAGCTTAGGAAAGTCTGAGTCATCCCAACTTGTATATTCACAGCAAATTCTGTGAATTCACCATCAGTATACAGAAATACATGGTAGGCATCTGAGTTGTATGTTACTTAAAATTATAAAGGTATTTTTATCAATTAATGTTCTTTATCACAAGCAGAATTATTTTCTCTGAAATCACAGTGAGATACTGTTACTTTGAAGAGGGAGCAAGGAACTGCCTGAATCCCATTACCCTGATCTCTCCTTCTCTAGCCAGTGGTATACCATCATTACTGTTGCTTTTGCTATAATAACAATAGCTAACTTCTACTGAATGCTCAGTATATACTAGGCTCTGTGATAAGGGCTTCATGTATATTAATTTAATGTTTAAATTCTTCCACGGATGGAAAAATAAAGACTTAGAAGTTGAATGATTCACCCAAAGTCACCATGTTACTGAAGTGTTGTTGATATCCAAATCACTCTGTTTCTGCCTGCAGTTTATATCCTAATCTACTTATCATACTGCAGACTTGTCTTCACTGGCAACACCCTGGGACTAGTTCTGCCTTAAGGAGAAAGTACAAAAAGAGCCCTTGACTCAGAAGGCAAAAGACTCAGTAACACATTGCCTCTTGGGGCTAGGGCCAGCATTTCATGCATCTTCTTCAGATGTATAATCTTGCTCTATGGCCTCATACTTTTAAAGCCTGGGCTCTAGTCCAACATTGTCCAAATCCTCTACCTTAGCCTGTGCTTGGTTTTCCAGCCTAGGATGCTGATTCTTGTTGCGTGAGTTTCTTGAACTTTGGATCTCTTCTAGTACAGTCTAACTTTTGGTTCTACCTCAACCTCTCTTGCCCTATGTATTGTCTAATGCACTGTACCCAGTCTAATAGGGAATGACAGAGAATAATTTTTTTTTCTTGGCGTTGGAGATGATTTCGATTGGGTCCTGCTGTTCATCTTGAATTATAATAGTTTACAATAGGGTGGAAATGTTAAGAATTGATTAGATTATGGTTTTATATACATAAATTCAGCTTTCTCTATTTTAAAACAGTGGTAAGTTATCAAATCATATTAAATTTGCACAAACAATCAAGGTTTACATAAACCATTTTCTTTGAACTATATTCTCCATTCAATTTCTTAATTTTACACCAACTAAATTATACTGGAACAACTGTAGTTTAGAAAACATTTTGATCACATATGTTGTATTAATCCTCCATTCCCACCCCCCACCATCATCTTGTAACATGGTTTTAGAAAATAAAGGACATAGCATACCACTTAATCCCAGAAAACTAAAATAAACTTATATACACTTTCAAGAAAAGGTCAATTACACTGAAGATGGTTTTATATATATATATATATATGTGTGTGTGTGTGTGTGTGTGTGTGTGTGTGTGTGTGTGTTTCTAAGAGCAGAGAAAAACAAGGCTAATTTTCCATAAAATTTTCAATAATACAATTCTTCTTGGATACCCACTCTAAACCTCTAAGAGTAATATCAAAGTTCATAAGTCCGCCAGTGATGCTAACAATATGTATTGGGAAAGACAACTTTTTTGGGGATAAAATCTTCTATTTAGAAACTACACACCTGGCTTCATTATTTAAAATACATATTAGCATGTAATCAGTAATTTAGTATCCTTAGAGTAATGATCTCTGAATATGTTACAGCCATGTATCTTAGGGGCAAAGAGATTATGAGGTATGATAATGTGATAAATATTCACACGCTCAAACTGGGTTTTGGTCAAATTTCTTTTAATAGAGCTAATAATTTGTTATAGTGAACACATTCTGACATCATTAAAGTTATTAATAAGACTTGAGTCTTACTAATGCTAACATAAGTTTCAAAGAATACTTGAATTTCACCTGTTTTCCGTTAATAGGTAATTAGAATTTCCAAATGCTAGTCCTGTAATTAAGGCAGAATAGTTTTACTTCGGCTAAGTCATCATCATCATTTTATATCAACAGAGCCTGATTCAGGCACTTACCAACTTGTTCTCTTGATGTGAACACTGGTATGTTTTTTATCTTTAGTAAATAGATATATCTCCTATTTCTGCTAAAAATTAAATGTAAGATAACTTGACAGGTAGACAGTGTTGCCAGCTTATTTAACTCAACATCAGTTTTCTTCTCAATAAGTGTAGATCATTCAAACATATTATACAGGCTTTAGCTATAACCATTCTATTTGATCTCTGCTATACTGTTTCATTTTGCAAAGACTATGGTGAAGTATAGTATAAGACTTTGCATGGTATTAACTAATCCATCTTCAGCTTCTGATTCCACAGACAGGAATCATATATGCATCATGGGAATCATTTTTGCAGCACAGTTTCCTTTAAAGGCACTCTTTTAGTAGCATTTCTAAAATTAGAAGATGTAGTAGACTTTAGGATGATTGAATTAAATAACTATTATAAAATTATAATTCTTGGCCATCTTTTAAACTAGTTAACTATAAAACATAATGTAGTTTTTAGATCAACTAGATGTAGGTCTTCCTGGCTTAGTAAAGAGACAAGTATTTTCCCTCATATAGATGATATGTTACTATCATTATCAAGAACTGGCCTTAAGAAGAAGCTAGACCTGTTGGGTGATACCTGTCAGAGTAAACAGATGGACAAAATCAAAGTTTTTTGTGTGATATATTCTCTCCTTCATATAATGAAATGGACACACAAGAAGTGAGTCACAGAAACTTTTAAAATAAAAAAGAAAGTTGTAATATACCAAATAATGATTGCGACTATATTCTTCGTCTATATATTTTCCTTGTTATTTGGATACAAACTTATCAGAATAAATCTTAGTGAAAATTTTATCCACTGTTTAGCCTTGTGATTTAATTTTATTAACTTTTTAATTAATTTTGTAAAGGTGTTAAATTTTTTCAGTAGGCAATTCATTTTTTTATGCTAAGAAAGAAAGAGAATCTCATACTTTTATACTAAAATTAAGATGCTGTGAAGGTAAAAACAGGTACAATTTTATAGAGAGTTGAAGTATACTAGAACAAACACTTATATAATAATATTACCTAATACCTGTCAGGCATTATTCTAAGTGCTTTACATTCACTCCAGTGAGCAAATATTTTCATTAGCCTCATTTTATAGAGGAGGCAACAGAGGCATGAGTTAAGGATATAAAGCTAGTAAATGGCACTGAATCTGGGAAATTTGGCTGCAGATAATTACTCTTAATCACTGTGCCAAACTTCTTTAAAAATAACATCTGAATCGAACGATTTTGAGAGAAAGCAGGAGTGTAGTCACCAAGGAGTGTTTTCATCTCAGGATAACAGAATCAAGATAATGCTGCTAAAATTGAGAAAATAAAAACTTGTGTTTAATGACAGAAATTTTTCAATAAAAGTGTCTCCTATGGTAAGTGGTATAGGCTTTAATACTTGAGTTATTTAGAGCTAGCTTGAAAAAGATCATGAAATGTATTTGTAGAAAATAATTTTTCTGGCCGGGCGCGGTGGCTCACGCCTGTAATCCCAGCACTTTGGGAGGCCGAGGCAGGCGGATCATGAGGTCAGGAGATCGAGACCAACCTGGCTAACAAGGTGAAACCCCATCTGTACTAAAAATACAAAAAATTAGCCGGGCATGGTGGCAGGCACCTGTAGTACCAGCGACTCGGGAGGCTGAGGCAGGAGAATGGCATGAACCCAGGAGGCAGAGCTTGCAGTGAGCCAAGATTGTGCTACTGCACTCCAGCCTGGGCGACAGAGCGAGACTCCGTCTCAAAAAAATAATTTTTCCTCACAGGTAATAGTAATAATATGATCAAATGGAGTTGCTTCTGTGCTGGTATTTAATTGTTACTACAAGAACACAGAAAACTTAGCCAAGTAAAATAAATTTTATACTCATCTTGGATAGAAACACACAAAATACAGTTTCTGAAGTTTCAATAACGTCAATCTAGTGAAAACAGAAAAAATATACATCTTGCTTTAATGTAAATCTCTGTCTCATTTAGTAACCTTAAACAATTTAGCCCATAACTATACATTACTATATCATGTACTCTGCTACCATTTCAGGTTCATTTGCCATGTTTTCCTAAATTGACTGTAAGTTCTTTGAGAGCAACAGAGAACCATATCTTTCATTTCGGCATCCCTAAAGGTGCATACTATGGTGAGTATGCCAAATTGTGCTAAAAACCAGACAAACAAAAGCAGTAACTAATATTTTATAAAGTCTATAAAATGGTTTCATACGCACTATGTAACTACATATTTAGATAGTAGATAGATTATTATCATACTTATTAACAGATGGGGAAACTTGGTTCAAAGGGACTACCTAAGGTCACACAGGATGTGAAAACAATAACCCTTATTTGAATTTAGTGTATTTTATGATTTGTTTTCATTTTATTTTCTGTCTCCCCCTTATCCTCTAGAATGTAAGCTCTTTGAGTATATGGGCTTTGATTTTCTCTTTGACTGATTTTTCATACAGCTTAGAGCAGTATCCTGGATGTAGTGAATATTCAGGAAATATTTTTTGAGTTGATAAAAGTCACTAAAGGGATGAAAGATAAAAGAATAATCGTCATACTCTTTTGTGTTGCAATTCTGAGTAACAACAATAGTTTATATTTAGTTATGAAGTATTTTTTTCTTAAGAGACTAGAGAGCAGCTCTGGACTTGAGAGACTTTTCTTAAGAGACTTAATCCAGCTCAATGGAACCTCGAACTTCTGGGCTCAAGTGATCCTCCTGCCTCAGCCTCCTGAGTAGGTGGGATTACAGATGGCCACTACCATGCCTGACTAATCTTTTTTCTTTTTGAGACAGGGTCTCACTATATTGCCCAGGCTAGTCTCGAACTCCCGGGCTCAAGCAACCCTCCTTCCTTGGCCTTCCAAAGTGCTGGGATTACAGATGTGAGCCATCATGCCCGGCCTGAAGTGCTTTTAAAATACTATCGCCATTTCATATTATAATGATTCCAGGCAGCTTTTATCATGTTCCCCACTTTAGAGTCGCAGAGAGGTTAAGTGATTTATTCGGTCACAGAGCTAGGAAATGGCAGAGCTGAGATTCTGAACCTCATTCTGTTACTTCAGCCAAAGGAAGCTAGCTAGGGCTATTTCAAGTAGAGCACAATTGATTCCTTAGATTGTACTAGCTTCTCTAAGTTACTCTCAGGATTGTACACCTGTGGGCATTCAATATGTATGTCAGCTTCCTAATGTTTAATTTATATTGCAAGTATCTGACTGAATAGAAAGCCTGTAGCTTTGAGTTGGTCTTGAAATTTGTGTTTGTAGTAAACAGAATATATTTAAATCAGTAAGGAAACACACGATAGCCAGTCACTGGAGGCCTAATGATGATTAAATAGATATCAGTATATCTGCATTTCATGTACATAAACATCTTACTGAAAATAAGTAAAATGCGATCTAAATTGGCTTCCAATTCCATAAAGAGTATAGCTGAATGTGTATGAAGCAAAAATAGTATGACTTAGCTATTACGAAAATAAGGAAGGATTCCTTGCTTGGTTAAAAAGTTAAAAATGAATTAACACACATTTACTGGAATCGCTGAAACTGAGAAACAGGTTGATGCTATGTAATATGGAATAGAAAAAACTGAATCTAAGGGAAAGGTTAAAAATATTTATCAATCAAGTTCTTGCAGACATATAATCAAGAGTATTACAAAGGACAAATCACTGCTGAGGGAAATAAGACAGATGGCTAGGATAAATGACTGAGTTCTCTTGAGTGAATTTTCTTTTTTCTTTACTAAATAAGAACTTGAGGAAAAATATGCAATGAAGCAATGTATTCAGGCTAAGCAGATTTTCTTTTTAAAGAAAACAGTACTCTAACATTAGAGCTAATATGTTAAAAAACTATAGAAATATTTTAAAATTATGACAGATATATTAATAGAACTATTAAATCTGATACACAGGAAACACAAATTTCTTAAAGGGACATTTTAAATCTTACAATGGAACCACCTAATAAAGTAAGATAAAGAAGGGGGGATTTTCAAATGTGTAAATGTAAGAAAGAAATAATATTGCATATTACAATGAGTAGCCAATTCAGGACGAGGGCTAGAAAGGACAATCACGTTACTTCTGCCTAACCTACTTGGATCTACATGCAAACTGAATAAATAGTGATTCCTAAATGATGCCCTTGTACCTGCTAACTTCTCCTTTCAACTTCACTCCTACTTTCTTATAAAGGGTATCCAGAAGGAACAAAGGGTCTTAGGGTCTATGGGTCTTAGGTGATGAACCACAGTGGAGGGAAAGAAGGGATTATAACAGTTCTCTCTCTGGGTGTGCTCAGACTTGGTGCTAAGTGTGTTTTATGCTAGAAACTACAAAGCACGGGGCCAGGCAAAACCTCAGAGAAAGGAACCTGAGAAACTAGATGCTTAGGTTTGGCTCTGGTCCAGATTCTGAAGGCTAGGTGTGGAGGACACACTATGAGTATCTTACATTGACCAGGCAGTCCGTAGGGGAAAAGCAGATAGAGATTATGCAAAAAGGACATAGACACCCTGACAAAATGTGCCTCTAAATGGAGTACCTCACCTATTCGGTGTCCCAGAAACTCAAGTGAGGCAACCTAGTATGGATCTAGATCTAAGTTAGGACAGGAAAACTTTACAGTAAGCAACTTCCTAGGAGCTGGAGGGCAGGCTCCAGAGAGGAAGGCAAAGGATAAGAGAGAGAATTATATTATTTTTGAGCACTGATTCTAAGGGTTGTGATTTATGCAGGCTATTTAAAGAGGGAAATGTGTACTGGAGTCTGACTGCCCGGGTTTGTATCCTGGCTTCACCACTTATCAGCTACAGAGCAAGCTATTAAGCACTGTGCCTTTGTTTCCTATCCTCCCTGTTGTACAGGGATAATAGCACAAACCGTATAGAGTTCATGATGATTAAGACAGTTAATAAGTAGAATACTTAGAACATTGTCTGGCAACCACCTTGCCTTTCAGTTACTAGTACTCTTTACCTCACCTTCACTGAATGATTATTAAGAAAGAAAAAAGAAAAATAAAATTAAGGCTAATATATTTTACTTCTTGTCAATCAGCTCTGGCAAGATTTGATGAATTTAAACTTAAACAAATGAGACTTGAGGACTGCTCTGTCTTTACTTAAACTGCCTTTTATTATGTTCATATTTTCACTGTCCACCATTCCCATGAATAATTTAGAAAGGGCTGCCTAACACTTTTGGAAACAAAAAATATTTGAAGTAAAAAAACTAACAGATGGGTAGAGCTGTTTTGAATAAACACAAGGGGAAAAAGAATTCAAAAGCTACTATACTTATACCACAAATAGGAAATTCATATTAGAGAGAAGTCAAATGCAAAGAAAGACTACTATGCTTACAATGGATTTAAAACATAATTAGCACCCTTAAATGCATACCAAATTAAATATAAAAATACACAGAAAATCTAAGCAGTTATGCTAATGCATTCAATAATAGAGAGAAATAGAAGTTAAATGCTTTTTAATTATATACTTTAAAAGTATAGTTAGAACATTTTCAAACACATACAGAGAAAAAGAGTAAGTCAATTATTTATTAAGTCAAAGAATAAGAAAGAAACCAGAACTGAAAGATTTAATACTATTCAGTTTTCCTAAATTATAATCTAGAATTAGAAAAAAAGGGACACTGTAAACTTAAACTTTAAATATTTAGTTGACCTTTACTGAAAGATATAACATTCCTATAACAACTAAAGTGGAAAGAATTAGTGGCTCAAGAGTGAGCGCCTATCACCAATGTACTAGCGATATTCACTAAGTGGAAAAATCAACTGAACTATATAAGGACATGAAGTGCACTCTAAATGGGCCCCCATTGGTTAAAGGCTGGAAGGCAAAGTAGTCATCCTGGACCAGTTTTGGTGTGCAGCCTGACTTTTATTTTGGATGCAATACTTGCAAACATAATTATGTTATTGATTTAAGAACACTCAAAGGAAGACTGCATAATAGAATGAATTTGCATGGCACAGATCTTGCTATGCTAATACAATAGCTTTTCTGAGATAACAGAGAGTGGATAAAGGGAGCTGGGTAGACAACATTTATCTACATTTTCGCAATGCTTTCAACTCTGTATTGCACATCAGCATGATGAGAAATTAAGAGATGAATTGTATAAATGATGTGACAGAGTGAATTACTAGTGGCTTACAGACTGAAAATAAAGGATTTTTATTCTTTCAGATACAGAACTATATACACACATGCATACTGATCTAAGGTTTCAATTTGCAGTTAGACTAATTATATGAAATAAAATAAATGTAGCTTATACATTAATCACTCTCAGGGAACTGTTAATTTGATAGCATTCAAGTATCTAGACAACTCAAGAGAAAAAAAATTTGGAAGCAAACAACAACAAAGAATCTAGCAAATAGTTTAGCAAATTTTGACAGTATTTTGACATTCTTTGGTTTAATTTTGCATGCTCTAAATTATTACAGCAATAGCTTAATAGTTACGGCCTGTCTTAGAAAAGCCCTTAACAAAGTTGGGTTATACTTTCAATGAGATTATTTGGAATCCCGTTGCAAGCTCAAAATAAGCTACTTAGCATGAATTTAAAAGAATAAAGGGAAATTGGTCATTGATTTATTCATTCATCATGCAACAATTCAAGAAACTGAGTTTCTACTATGTGTTAGGCATTGTGGATATTAAGTCCTCTGTAATCCTGTAGTTTATACTCTAGTTAGAATGCTAGATTTTTAAAGATGCTAATTAAAACAGCTATGATTGGAGGAATATGCTTTTTCAACAATTCTCAGGAACTGAAAGAAAAAAGGTACTGTATATTGCAGACTACGTATAAGGTCAGTGTGATTTAGTGAAAAGTCTAAATTAAAAATTACAAAGAATTATAATGTTCAAGTATCTATAGTTACTTAAGAAATTCTTAAGCAAATGTCTTAAAAGATGCTTAGAGCTAATTTAATGAAAACAAGAGAGCTGTAGAAATATCAACTGTCAACATGTAAATGAGGAGTTCTGAAGTATTAAAAAAGTTTCTTTTGCTAAGATAAGCATTCATATTATTTTTTTCATAAAAACAAATCACCTTGAAATTTCAATATCTGTGATTACTCTCACTGCCATTCATTTTCAACTGATTAAGATTCCAATTAAGATCTGAATTAATAGGATTAGGCTAATAACCACTACAACATATTTTCACTGTATTGCTTGGTCATAAGTACTATACACGTGATTTACGGTACCACAGAGTTTTATAAGGGCCATTATGTTATTAATTAGTTACATTGATCAGAATGCCACACAACATAGCAGTACTTAAAAATTATAATTTGCTTAGACACATTTGCATTTAGTCTTATGTCTGTTTGTACTATGGGCACATTATAAGGATAACTGAAATCAGATAGCTTGCTTTCATTAACAATGCCAAGAGATCCAAAAGAAGGTAATTCTACTGAGGAATCTTGCTACTGAAATTCATTTTTTTCTCAGTATACCATAAAATTAGTTGATCCCGGAAAAGAGCATAAAGCCAGGATATTTGGGGGTCAAGTAAGGTAAGAACACTATACTATATGTGTACAAATTCATCCACATTTAGTTTGAATCTACTTATTTGTAGGGATCTGCCACTTAAATCTACAGTTTTTTTTTTTTTTTTCGCTTGGTTTTGAGGATGGCTCTGATGGGTTTTAAGCATTCTAAACCATTATACTTTGGGTTTTACTGAATCTCAGCTTCCATGTAGTTGCTGGGAAGTTCAGATTATCTTCTGGTTGTTACAATAAAACACAGGTACCTACTAAGGCAAAAATTTCAACTTTCAGATTTTGACTACAGCACTCAAAAGTCCAAATTCTGGCACATATTATCAGACTTCAACTTCTCAAAAGCTCACAAGAGGAAATAGCTACCCTGTGAAATTAGCCAATAAAGTGACATGATTGCCATTCTAAGCAGATCATCAACTTAACTCACTGAGAAAGATTTGCCTGAATCTTGCTTTAAGCACTGTAATTTAGAACAGTATATGTATATAATCCCCCGTGAAGAAAAAAAGGCAAAATTTTCACTCACATAAATCACAGATAGCAAATTAAGGGGAAAATAAAAATTTGTTAGAGGAGATAAAAATGTGTTAGATTTGTTTAGATAATATTTTGGGGGAATGGCCTAAATGTTGTTTTTTAAAAAGAATATCTTTAAAAATGAAGACATGGATTTCATATGACTATTTATGACATTTTGAATTTCAATGTTCTCTCAACTTTAAAAAAGTTTTATTGGCAAGAGGACTTTTCTTCATCACTACTGAAATATTTCAAAATCTATGGATAAGGTTCAATCTATTTCTGTGACTGATTTTGATAATTTTTTAACTATAAAAGTCAGAAGGAACAAACCAACATCAGCACTACTATATAATCTTATCTCCTCCCAATTTCCCAGAATATATAATAGCATGCTTATAAACTAATCTTATGAGAGCAAACATTAGTGTCCAAGACAATGAATATAGTGTGCTATTGTGTCATAGTTTTGGTTCATGAAACAGCATGAAGTAACCCTTAAGGCATTAGATTATATTCTACGGTCTATTCAGGAAATACAGCCAAATAGTGATTTCTCAGAGAAAAATGAACACATGCCTTTACCTTCCTCCTTTCTTCTCTTTGCTTCTTCCTCATTTCTTTCTTTGGCTTTCAATGCTTCATCAGCTTTTGCTGAAACAAAAACAATACAATTTTTGTACTTATTTTATGCCTATATTCAAAGTGAAAATATTGGTTAAAGGGACTAGAAATTCATTACTTATTTTCCACGAAGTAATCACAAGAAAGAAACAAGGCAGTTGAACATCTGAAATACATATTTTATATTCTTTATTCAGAATAAATATTCAGAATATTTATTTATAATTTTTGAAGCTTCATTCAAGACAATCTCTGTACTAAAGGGAAAATGAATTTAAGCAAGACACATTTAAATGATGACATATGAATTGGGAAAAGTTGTTTGTCATTAAAAGTCATCTGATGTATCAGTGTAATGCATTTGTTTTAAATTTTGGAGGAAAGTTCTTAAGGTACAGTTCGCACTTTAAATGTAAGAAGCTTGCAATACCTATGGAACAGTATCAAATTAGGTAGCATACTTTTTTGTTCATTGCACATCATAGTAGTGGTTCTTTATTCATGTTATGACAGCATTTGGTTAAAAGAATCTCTTTCCCTCTAGAAACCTCTTCCCTTATTACTTAATTATCTACTAGTTGCTCAACTGCAGGGGTTTTCAAACACTTTACTACAGATGTTGAGGAAGATTAAAAATATACAGCACAGTAACAAGGGACTATCAATATACTCTGTAAATTAATTAAATTTCTGTTCTAGCACATCATTTATTCCAAAGCATTAATGTCTCAAAGGAGCGATTCTCCTTTATTGCCGTCTCACTGCCTGATGAGTGAACTAAGTGAAAATAAGTCTCTAATAGCATTATAGTTGATGAAATATTAAGTTAAAAAAGTATTGCCTTGTCAAAAGAAAAAGAATCAAACTGTGCCAGCATTAAACTTTGGATGAGCCTTTATTATAATAATAATAGCAATGTAAACTGTGATTTAAAAAATAAACCTTCTTACTCTTCAATTTTTTGCTGCATATATTTTTCCTATGCAAAATCAACACATCCTTTAGAAGTATAATGACTGGCTTAAAGGGGAAATTTATATAAAATATATGTCACACACAAAACTATTTTTCTTCAAAGTTTGATTTTTCTTTACCATTAATATTGACACTTTCTTAAAGTATAAAACTTATATAATGGTGTTATGAAGTACTATATCCAATTACACAGACATCTGTTTCCATTTACAAGCTTTTATATATACTTAGACTGCATTTAAAGTCATGAAATATTAAAACTTTTATGCCACTCCATATCATTGCAAGAATCTATTAAATTAGATAATAAAAACAAACCACCAGTAACTCTAAAGACTTTTACTTCATTTACACTTTATTCTCCCTGGTAGAAGGACAAGGATAATAGAAATTCCATTTAAATTCAATTTTGGTTATATGTGTAATTGTAGATATACCCCTTGAGTCATGTAAAATGCTCAGCTTATGTTTCTTTCAAATTATCCCGCTCAGATTCACATTCTACTCCTTACAACCATCTTCAATATGTATTAGCAGGGCTCATTAGACTGAAATTTAATAATGCAAACATCAGGTGGATTTCAAGAACCTCCATTAACAACGTAAGATGGATTGCTTATATATAGCTCTTGGGCCAACTGGGCACAATTTAAATTCAATAAACTAGCCTGCCTAAATCTGATTTATCTATTTCACTATGCTAGTTTATCCTTTCTTACTGATTTGTTGCTATACATGGACAATTCATAGGAATATTATTTTATATGTTTTTTTTAAACTGCAAATGGCTCTGGTGCTGTGGTTAAATATTTTATGTAATTGAGCTTCAAACTGTCAATCAAGAGCTCCAAATATATGTCTGTGTGTACATGTGCATAAATAGAAAATCTTTTGAATTATGTTGAAATAGTATAGATAATAATTAATCTTAAAAGCACACACTTGAAAATTTTACCAACAATCAGTATGTCCTCCATAAAGAATCTGAGTTCACTTGAAGGGAACAATTACTTAAATTGAGTCCTTAGGATAAACTCCTCATTGACTATTAAGGAAATCTGGAAAAAATGTTCTTTTTGTCTTTCTGACTGCTTTATAATATTATGATTTAAGTGTGAATAAAGGAAGAACTCATGGCATTCATATGTGATTTAATTTATTCTGCAAATTTTTGTATTCTCAAAAAGGTGGCAATCCCATTTTACAAACAGGGATACTGAATCTTACTAGATGTGCCATGAAATTTGACACCAAAGAGCATAACGAACAAGTGGTCAGACCTGCTCTAATGATTCATGATCCTGTTCGGATACCAGATCTACTATTAAGCACTTCATTTACCAAAGTAATTACATCTTTTACTAATCTTGTACACAAGTTCCAGTCCCTTGGTTCTTCCACTCTCCCCGGCTAACTGTCCCCTCTAGGCTTCGCTTCCTTCACTACCCACCCTGGACGCCAAGAAAGTCATTTCTATTCCATGCTTATAGACATCCTACTTCCTCTGTTGTTTTGCTAAGCTGTTGCTATTAAGTTAGTGCAAAAGTAATTGCGGTTTTTGCCATTTTTAGTAATTGCAGTTTTTGCTATTTTAATGGTTTTTGCCATTAAAATAGCAAAAACTGTAATTAATTTTGTAACAACCTATAACACATTTGACCATTTTTTTCTATTTTTGCTGCAGAGGCTCCCTATGAAACAGTGTATACATGCTATTTATTGACTCTACCAAAAACCAATATTTTAGAAATTAACATGGATGTTTTTATATTGCTCCTCCTTAGTCAGCATCCATAGTTAGTGTCCATTTTCATTTCCTACAACTTACTATGCTGTCTTTACTACAAATGGCAATAACCCCATACCAACTCCCCACACTCCCTTATATTTTCTCAGACTCACTGCCATGTGACTCCAAACTTTTACGTTCATCAATCCTTCTTTGGCTTGTTTTGGAAAGTAAACCCACCCATTTGCACTTTAGAACATATTCCTTTTCATACCCTTCAGGATTCTGTTTGCTTAAGGTTCAAACTCTCTTCCCTACCCTCAGACTATAAATATATTAAAGTCTCACAAATCCTGTAAAACATTTACTCTTCTTTTAACCAAGCTACTGCCTTTTCTTGTTCCCACCAGCTTTTGCCCCCATAGCATTTTCAGTGGTCCTCCCAAAGTCTGTAAGAGCCAAATTTAGGTTACTCAGTTTTATCCCATATATATATTAAAAAACAAACAAAAAAAAAAAACAAAAAAAAACACAAAACACAAAAAACGAAAAACAAAAAAACAGTGAACCAACCACATCTTTCTGGAAATGCTCTCCTAATTCTGATAATTATTTGTCAGCCTTTTTGGGCTGCTGTTTCTTTTGCTCACCTGTGCCTTCTTGGCGTTCTATTCTTGGGCTGTATATAGGTCTAAATTGTAACACATATGTCTATCATAGCCATACCTATCTATGGTCCCTCTCCTGATCACCAGAACTGTTTTTTTCCAATTACTTCCTGGACACTGCCAAACAGATATTTCAAAATCACATCCACAGTTGAACTCACAATCTATCTCTCAAACCTGATGCTCTTCCCTTAGTATGTCCTATTTTCACCAGCCAACTAATCTCTCAGATTGAAAACCTCTGCAACATTTTCCTTCAACTCTTATCCTTATGCAGTACCAGCTGATTGTACCGGAACCAGCAGTTCTTTTGGATCCAACTCCACAAATTATATCTAGAATCCATTCATTCCTTTCCATTTCATTGCCAATACTCACATTCGGGACCTCATTTCTTTTTACTTTGAACAAGAAAGGAGCTCCTATTTGATCTCTGTACTTCTAATACGAGTACTTCCAATGAACCCTCCATATTACCACCAGAATGAGGAACATGTTTAGTGTTGTGTATCCTTAGCAGTAAGCACAGTATTTAGGACACAGATATGTTCAATAATTGTTAAATAAATAAATGTACCTTTCTAAAATCCAAATATGATGTCACTGTCTGCTAAAAATACTTGAGGGTGCCTTGCTGCATACACACATGTACACACACACGCACACCCCTAAAATCCTTCACATACCATTTAAAACCCTTCATACAACTATTATGTATGAATTTAAAAAAATTTTAAAAAAGTGCTTCACAGCCTGATCTCAATGTAACCTTTCAATGTCATCACTTACTACTTCTCCTTTCTCACTCCAAGGATCTATATAATCTAGCCTTGCTGGGCCACAGTACCTTTTGTTTGAATTGCTATACCTTTGTTACTGCTGGGGTGCCCATTCTCACTTTCTTGCTGAAAAAATCCTACCAGAAAGTTTTACTTCAAATATCACTCTCTTCTGTGAAGCCTTCCCCAATCAACAACCTTTGTCCCCAAGTGGATAAAACTGTTGCTTCTTTTTTCCATAGGTACTTTAATACCCTCTTTATGGGATGTACAGCACTTTATTCTCTTCACTGAAGAACATATACTTGTCTCCTTGAGAGCTGGGCGCATAGTAGTTGTGACAGAAATTGTCAGTGTTTACTTCATGTATCTTTAGCCAGACTACATTTTCTAGTCTCCCAGGCACTTAAGTGTGGCTGTTTACCTGAGTTTGGGCTAATGGAATGTGAGCCTAAGTGATGTGTATACTGTTTCCACAGCTGGCCTATTAAAAAAAAAAAAAAACCCTCACGTAATCCTCACCCTCTTTCCCCATCTACTGGTTCAATCAAGGACTCAAAAAGGGCAAACCACAAGGTTAAAGGAATCTGGTCTCTAAATTCTGCAAGAAGTGCGTTCCTCATGACTTGCATTATACTGTGACATGAGCAAAAAACACATGTATATTATTTTAAGGCAATGAAGTTTTGGGGTTGTTTGTTATGTCCACTTTGCCTAATACAGCAGGTGTTCAAGGAATGTTTCCTAAACGAATGAACGAAAAGGATTTAGAAAATTAATACAAAAATTGTGTTGCTCCTTTTTTTTTTTTTTTTTTTTTTTTTTTTTTTTTTTGAGATGGAGTCTTGCTCTGTCCCCCAGGCTGGAGTGCAATGTCAAGATCTTGGCTCACTGCAACCTCTGCTTCCTGGGTTCAAGCGATTCTCCTGCCTCAGCCTCTCGAGTAGCTGGGATTACAGGCATGCACCACCATGCCCAGCTAATTTTTGTATTTTCAGTAGAGATGGGGTTTCCCCATGTTGGCCAGGCTGGTCGTGAACTCCTGACCTCAGGTGATCCGCTTGTCTCGGCCTCCCAAAGTGCTGGGATTACAGGCGTAAGCCACCGCACCAGGCCATGTTGCCCCTTCCAAAGTGAAGTCTCCTTTCAGAAAAGAATCCCTCCATGGCTGTTTCACTTGGATGATGGAGATCAGAAGAACAGCTGCAGAGGTGACAAGGGGCTAATCAGGGCATGATTCAGGATGTGTCACTGGTAGTATATCACCAGAATTTATTCACATCTTTACCAATTTTATTTTTAAAATTCCATAGGGGATTGGCTTTTTCAATTATTGTAGCTGTTTGCTAAAGTTAGATTTTAAATGATTTGGGGAAGTATTTTATATACCCTATGGCTGTGAATCATCAAATCAAGAATTGGAAAATACTGACAGGGTGTCCGACTCATGCCGTTTCAGAAAAGGCTGTATTAATATTTTCAGGGAAAAATCTCTTTACAGGGCTTTAACAACCCTCATCCCAAAGTTGTTTTCTATATGTAGCCCAGTCTTTGATACTGCATCACCATGAATATACTGCAAATGTTGAGAAATTCTTAAACAGAAAGCAGATGAGAACAAAAGCATAGAAAAATGATTAGAGGAAATCAAAGCCCAATCACGTTCAGATGACTATACAAACATGGAAAAAGTTCTAGGAATGTTCTAATTTTAGAGTCAATGGATACCAAGCACAGGAGATAGCCTTGGGGCAAATATCAAACTGAATTATTATTAAAGCAGCAAAACAATGGTACCTCCCTTGTATGTGATAAGTAGGGGTGCAGGCAGTGTTTGACAACAGGTAAATGTGGTGAGTATAAGAGGTGCTGGAGCCAGTGAGGCAAGGGCAGGTAATTACTGACCCCTAAAAGTCATGACAACCTACCAGTATGTCAGTACCAACAACACATTTTGCTACTGACACAATCAATGGAGACAGGGCACAATGAATTGAAATGACAGGATTACAGGGATTGTCAAATATAAAGATGAACAACCAACCTAGAATTACCAGGCAGTTGAGGTAAACCAATCTTACGAAAGAGATACAACAAACAAGAACAACACAAACAACAATAACACCATAAAACAATTAAGTAGAGGAATTGGTTAATAAGGTAAACAGAAGTTTTTGGAATCACTATCACTGTAAATAACATCCTTAATGCGATGTGGGAAGATACTGATTGCATCTTGGTAACTAAATTTTGACCATCAAAAGAGAACTCCATACATGAAATGAACAGAATGAATACAGTTGAAGACTAAATGAATGTGTTAGAAGATCTTACCAACGAATTTTCCCTGAATGTAAAGAGGCTTACAAAAAAAGTTAAGTGACAATATTATCATTATTGAAGTTAACATTTATTGAATGTTTACTATGTACCTTAGTGTTTGTACATGTGTATATATTTCACTGAATTCTCAAAATGATTCTATGACATAGTTACAATTATTACCCCCATTTTACAGATGAGGAAACTGAAAAACAGAGAAGTTAAAAAAAATTTTCAAGGTCATAGAGTTAGGACAGAAGAAAGATCTATATGTTCTAACATCTATCAAAGAGAAGTTCTTAATTAAAAGAAAGAATGGAGGGAAGATATAATCAAAGACATAATATAAATAGATTTCCTCAGAACTTTAGAAAGGCACAGTTTCTCAGGTTGCAAAGAGAACCTGAGAAAATGCAAAGTAGATACACATAAGCAAATTGTGGTGAAACTGTGAAATACCAAGAAATACCAAAAAGCATTCAAGAACACCTGGAGAAAAAAATAGGTTACTCACAAAGAAAGAAAAGAATAGTTTATATTTAATCAAACTCATCAAATTGCTCAAAAATAGACAAGCCTTTAGAAAGTCTAATCAAGGAAAAAAAGACTGTAATAAAATTCATAAGAAATTAGTAAAGTGACACAATTAGAGATGCAGAAGAAATTTTAAAAAGTAAATACACATACACACAAACATAAACATTTAAAAGCCACAGGGCCATACATTAGAAAATCTAGAGGAAATCAGTAATTTTCTGCGGGGAATTAAGAAGAAGAAGAGAACCCGAAAAGGTTAAAAAGATAAGCTTTTATTCAAAACGCTGGTGAGGTGTGGTGGCTCACACCTGTATTTCAGCACTTTGGGAGGATCAATTGAGGCCAGGAGTTTGAGACCAGCCTGGACAACATGGTGAGACCCTGTTTCTATGAAAAATATTTTAAAATTAGCCAGGCTTGGTGGCATGTGCCTGAAGTCACAGCTACTTGGGAGGCTGAAGCAGGAGAATTGCTTGAGCCCAGGAGTTTGAGGCTGCAGTGAGCTAGAATCCCAAAACTGCACTCCAGCCTGGGTGACAGAGCAATACTCCGACTCGAAAAAAAAAAAAAAAGGTTCCGGGCTACACAGACTTTTGGCCTATCTGACAAAATTGAAAATACATATACCCTGCATCAAGCAATCCCACTTGTAGGAGCCTATTCTATAGATATGTGTGCACAAGAGTTTGAAAATGTGTGCACAAGAGTTTGAAAATGTGTGCACAAGAGTTTGAAAATGTGTGCACAGGAGTTTGAAAATATATACACAAGGCACAGCACTATTTGTAATGACAAAAAAGCAAACAACCTAAATATGGAAGAGGCTAAACACAGTGCAATATTATGAAATACAAAAGCCACTAAAAAGAATAAGATGGCCTGATATATATTAATATGGAAAGATTTTCAAGACAAATATTAAATAAAAAAGCAAGTTAAATAACCATATGTAGCATATCTCATTTACTAAAAAAACCAAAGTACGTAAGTGTATGTATATAAATGCATAGAAAGAGGGCAGAAAGCATGCATGGAGAACTACTAGTTTACTTGCCTAACTAGAATGTGGCACAGCAGGGCTTCTACCCAACTGCAGTGGTCACACTTTTTCCACTTTATTACCTGTATTTAAAAATACACATGAACTCCAATATTCCATCTACAAAGTTAAGAAAATTATACTCTCAAGTTTTGAAGAAGTTTCGTGATGCTCTAATATAAATCTGGGGGCCAAGCAAGAAATGTTCTAATTAACTGTAAATAAAAACATCTAGCAAAATGTATTTTTGCTTATTTCAATTTGTTATAATTCTTAGTACTTTCCACATTAACACTAAGACAATGACCAAGACACTATGGCATTTCACAAACACTGCTGTGTCAAAATATTTTAAGCAATGATTGCAAACTGGCAAGATTTGTAATCACAACACCAGTAATATATCCAGCACTGCTCATCCTATCATTTCACATATGTGTAAACTTTATTGGATTAGTCATCAAAATACATGTAAGAACATTTTCTGACATCTTATTCTTTCTCATGTTCATTCAGTTTAAATATTGTCATGTTTTAAAAATCAGTGTGAGTAAAAAAGATACAGTATAAGCTGACAAGTACTATTTTCCAATAATTTCTAAGTATGAATATTTTATCTACATAAGTCATTACTATGTGTATAGTATTAGTGAACAAATGAAAGGCCCACGAAAATTAAATAATTTGTCAATGGTCAGAATGACCAATACACAGAGCCTGTGAATCACAGTTTAATATTAATTTAATGCTCTTTTTATCTTGTTTCTTACATATTTATTCACCTGGAAGCAAACAGTAATCAAAATAAGGGAATAATTTATTGCTTCCATGCACATGTCACTATTTATGGGGAAACTTTTATCTGAATATACTTTATTCAAAATCACAGAAAATCCAAAAAGTCTCTTGCTTTGTAACAATCATCAAGATATGCCTATTTGTCTCATATATTTAAGATGGCATTAGAAAATGTATCTAGTGAGTTTCTCTTGAAAACACTATTAAATCCCATGAGCCTTTGGGACTGGGGAAACATTCAATAATGTTTCTTCCTCATTTTCTAAAGTTTCTTCCTCATTTTCTAAAATACAGTAGCTCACCTAAAGTGGTATAGTGATTAGTGGTTCTATTTAATGTAATTCTAATTCCCATATGTTATATTACCATGCTTCAATAATTCCCATGTCTCTAAAAAGCACCACTGGAGTGAACAGTTCCTCCAGTTAAGAAAGTGTCTGAATAAAGGCATTATGAGTTTGTATGCTATGTGTTTTGAGATAATAAACAAAGATAGAAAGGGGATATTTACATTTAGGATTTCATTTCCTTTGAAGTTTCATGTTAAGTACTAAGGCAGTTGTAATTTAACATAGAGAGCAAAAACCAGGTGACTGAAGTGCCAGGGTCTCTTTCTAGGTCACACCGGAAAGAAAAGAGCAATAATAAGTGTCTGCAGATACCCCCCAAACTCACTAGTTATAACTATGTCAAATTCATTAAAAATTTTACATATTAACATAGCTGCTGTTTGTGTATATTTAAAGACTATATAATAATAGTTATAATATCAGCTCCTCCCAAGTACAAAGCAGTAAATGCTGAATCAATTTTCCAAATCTATCAGGCCATCTGGTAGCAAACATCAGTACTTTTTGTTATTTTTAATGTCTCAGCAGGAAAAAAGTGTCATGCTGTTAGTATGGAGAAAACAACTTTTAGTTATCAGCAACTAAAAGGAAAAAGGAGATGAACTTAGTTATATAAGAAGAAATATATAGAAACATGTGACAAATAATATTATTCTGGACTAAGGAGTGGCATACATACCTCACAGTAAATAATTATAAATTTACAACTTGACTGAGAAAAGCAGAAAAATTTTGAACTCAAGGAAATATAATTACTAAGAACATCACAATTGCAAAAGCCTAATTAGTTCTTATATATTTAAAAAGAGTATACCCAAGACTTTCTGGATGTGAACTTTCAAATAACAATAGAAAACAACAACATTTAGAACACAATAGTAAGCTACTGTAAATAAAAAGAAACTGTAAAGAATGATTTTTGGAGAAAAAATATAATTAACATAAAATATATAATGTTAAAAAAGCATAATAGGCCACGGTGTTTAAGGTTTTCTCATATAGTTTTTACTGAGTTTTATCTAGACCTCAGAACAACAGATAACCTAAAAACTCATTAGTAATAATTATCAAATTCATTAAAAATTTACATATGGACATAGCTGCTACTTCTGCATATATAAAGACTATAAAACTATGGTCATAATATCAGCTCTCCTCAGGTACCTCTGCCTCATTCTTTACATGCACAGCACAGAAGTGAAATCCGTTAAGTTCTTATTCCTCACCAATTTATACCATTAAATGCCAGCAATACAAATGTACAGGTAAAAATGTTTAGTCATGTCCAATATTGGAAATGATTATTCTGTATCTGCCTCAAACACCATATGCGTCCATAGTAACTACAACTGAAAAATTATTTTACAAATATGAAATTGCAATTATTACACAGCCAGTGCAAAGACTGGCTGTGTAAAAGCAAAAAAAAAAAAAAAGCAAAAAAGAAAGCCATGGTTTATTATCAGCAAATGCTCCAAAAATAAAAACTTTCATCGGATAACCTTACAAGTAAGTTATTTTTTGTTAGTTTCTTCATTTGTCCACTCAAAACAGATTTACAAAGCATAAAACAGATAACCTAGAAAATTCCTCAGCAGAATACTGTGCTCCTTATCATTGTTCCTAATCACTGAGCTAAATGCTGAGGATGGAAAGATGAAGAAGGCATGAACTACAAGGGGAAATGGAAAAACAAACCCCTGTATACAGGTATTCTGAAAGCAATTAAGGAAAGGAATATGGTCAGGGAAGACATCTAGGAGGGGATGATACTTAAGCACCTTTTGTAGGAAAACTTAGCCAGGAGGACACGTCAATTATAGTTGCAATGAACCAGTTTAGAAGGGCCTTAGAATAAGCAGTAGTAGGAAACCAGGAGGTATGTTTCCATATAATCCAAGGGACACTTAACCGAGGACAGCTATATGTCCCCAGAGGGTGCCATCTACTGCCAGGGAGAATTTACCAATTCAAAATGACTAGAACTCAAGAAAGAAATTACGGCACAAATCATATTCAGTGCAGTCAAGTCTCAGAAAAATGTAAATGTCTGTAGTTAGAAGGAAACATGTATACATATGTAACAAACTTGCACGTTGTGCACATGTACCCTAGAACTTAAAGTATAATAATAAAAATATATATATATAAAGATCCTCTGGCCCAGTATTACTCACAGCATATTGCACAGAACACAAATTTCTCACGATTCTCCATTTAAACAAGGTTCCACAGTGGAATAAGATTGGGCAACACAATACAGAATCCTCCCTCATGGAGAGCCACTATGCTTATCTGCAAATTTAAAGCTCTCAGACATTCTGCAGTAAAGAGAATTATTTAACTTAGTCTATGTTTCCCAACTTTATTTTCCAAAAAACTATTCTTCTCCTGTAACATAAATAAACAAAGAATACATTTCAGGAAATGCTAATCTAGTACAATGGTTTCAGCAACCGTATTTTCATTTCTTCCCTAACTCAGATTCTAAGAGGGATAAAGATATTTCATTATTAAATTTTTTTTTAAGTTCTCCTTTGGATGTTTAGAGACACTGAAACTATAAGAATAATTTTTCTCAAGTCTAGAAATGATTTGTTGCATCTCGTGCTTTAAGTTATATATTACTCAAAAGATCGATTATGTTTATTTCTGCAAATTGTTAGAAATAATACTAGTAATAAATGATGATATTGAAAAATGAAAAATGTGGGCTGAATGAGCATGACAAATCTAAACTACAAAATGATATGGTATCTTTATATTATCTTCTACTTTTTAAAGCACTAATGTGAGAATATAAATAGTTGGAGCATATTGAATGAGTTTCATTTGCTTTTACATCAAATCCCCTTTTGTAAACTTTATAACAGTTCCAAAAGTAAAAGCTTTTTCCTTTACTATTTTATTCTGTGTCACGTCTTCTAGATTTTCTTAAATCTTATGGCCCACATAGGCTTTAAACATTACCCAAACTAGCAAAGATTTACTTCATGTGCTCTTTCTTTTTATTGTTGGGGAATTTTCTATGTCACTTATTAGAAAAGCTTTGATAATCTATTTCACTGCTGAGTGACACACTAAGTATGTCCAACAGATGTGCTGGTCTAATTCAGCTGTATGCAGTATATCCTAATGTTCTTCACCTGAATAGGCATTTTTCTTCCCAACTTTTCTGCTAGAACCATAAGCATTCTAATGACAAGGAAGAAATCAACAAATTCAATTAAAATTTGAGATAAAAAGTGAATAGCTGATAGTTTTTTTAAATGCGTAAGGTCTTACAGCCTTTTGTATAAGCCTTTTGCTTATATGTATCTTTGTACATGCTTATATGTATCTTCTCCAGTCCTGCTGCTGTCTGATGCTTACCCAACATTTTTTTATAACCTGAATAAACTGCTTGGCTACAGTAATTAAGATGCCATGTACTACAATACAAGAATAAAAGTAAAAAAAATTGAAAACATCCAATAACAACACAGGATAGTGCTGTGATATTTATTCTCTCAAAGAAAGGCACTACTGGATTGTTTTTTCTTTTTTACAGAATGCTGATATGGAAAATAAAAATAATTTCATCATTCTGTGTTCCTTCGACTTACAGCATATACATCAACTTGATGTCAATTTGAAGTCGGTTTGGCCACTATGATAACTCCCATTCCAAGACAGATGTTTCAGCATTTTAGAAAAACTCTGGGGTTTGGAGCTACAGAATTATTCCTTGTGAAAAAAAATCATATCTTAGACTCCACTAAATGATTTATAATGCTTATTTTCTTCAGTAACTCCAAACATTCTATCAATGTATATATATTTTTTAAAGAGTAACTATTGGTAAGCAATCTTTTTAAAAATAAGAACGAAAATCCAGAAATAATTAATTATATACCTCAGAAATCAAGGATGGGATGTGATAGTTTCTGATATCGAAAAAGTCATTTCTTTTCCTAATTTTTACATTATTATTGCATTAAAAAGGGTGTTTCTTTTCTTAAAAACAGAATTACATATTTTTATTTATATCATGTGTTTTCTTAGCTTCAATTCATGAAAGGAAACAACTTATGCTGGCCTACATCTATGTGTCAGACACTGTGCTAAGTACTTTAAGATACTTTCATATAATCATCAAAAAGTTTCAGAGAGGCTTAATAATTTGCTTAAGATTACATACCAAAGAAGTGAGTGAGTCAAGAGTTATAACAGTTCTGTCTGCTCTTCTTTTCATTACTATCATGGCTTTTTAAAAACTGTGTGGAAATAACATATAAAACAAATCTAATTCTACTAGTGTTTCTAATTATAGTTAATTTATTTTTGTTAAAGTTTAATTATGAAGTCAGAAAGATTAGGAATAAAATCCCATTGTAAAATAAGGATGAAAGCAAATAATTATGTTATTAATAAATTAATATTCTGAAGTTGACTTTTCTTTCAGGAATATGAAATGCTCAATATTTAAGTACATCATAATTTTGGTTGCCTGATTTGAGAGACTCATCATTTAAGTCTAAGACCAATGGCTTGCTATCAGTGTTATAATATATACACCCTCTATACTAAAAAGGCTAACACTTCTGATAAAATGCAGACTTCCACTGCTGAATCCACAAATTTTCCCCAAAGGAGCTTTATGCCATGCCTCGATTTAATCCTGTTAAAAGCATGTTTTAAATGCACTTTTAATATACCACATTCAGACTGAAGAGTTGTATCATGGCCCTACTAGTTGGGATACCCCTACTAGTTAAAGAATACAGCAAATATAATTCAAAATTAATAATGCAAGTTTCGTTGGATGACACATTGTAGCACCCTGCATGTGTGACCTGGTTTTGGAGCAATCTTTGAGTTTTGTTTTCCCCTAGATCTGTAAAAACTAGGCACATAATGAAACTGTTGCATTTACTCTCCAGGGTAAACTGTAAAGGGAACCAACATATGACCTTTACTAGCCTGTTAATGAAGAGGCACGTTCTGTTCTTTCACATGAAGGATGAATTAAGCAATAGTAATGGCAGCTTAAGGTAGAAGAGATAAGAAAAACTGGTATTTAAAAATCATAATCAAAATCTATGTCGGCACTCAAGTAACTAAATTCAGTCCCACATACAAACAACTGAATACAAACAAGTTGAAGATCATGAAAATAATTATTATAAAATTTTCCTGGATTAAAAATAAATAAGAAACACAATATATAAGAAATTTCAAATGCATTTCTTTCTATTACAGGCAAATTTTTACTAGTAAGTCAATGTATTTCATTAATAAAACACTATATATAAAAATATATAGGTTTTCAGCATACTTGAAATGGTTTTGATGATAACAAGACCTTTAAATCCACATATTTTATAGGCAATAAAAATATATCAAACAGAAAAAAATCATATATCCAAAAAAAGTAACACAGTATAGTACTCTTGAAATTTCTCTCATTTCAATTCTATATGGCAGAGTTTAAACAAAAAAAACCTTGCAACAACATCAGAAAATAAAAGCAGAATCAAATTAAATAATAAAATGAAGATCTTAGTTATTTTATTAGGCTATGAGAGTGAAAATCTGCCCTCTAAAACTGAATATGGTATTTATCAACTCTGCATTTAAAAACAGATACTACTTGTAATTTTCCTGGCTTAGTATTAATCATTATCAATATTTTATCATCTATTTTGTTGCTATTAATAGATATTTTCAAGTAGGCATTAATTATGGTACTTTAGGGCGGTAGATCTCAAACTTCAGCATGTGTCAGCATCAAATGGAAAGTTTGCAAAACAGACTGACGGCTGAATATGGTCAAGATTTTGTTTTTTAAAAAAATCTCAAACTGTTTATTTAGAAACACAGAATTTTAAATATATTTATCCCAATGTGATTTTTTTGGTGAACCCATGAGTTACTCAGAAGAATGCTTTAAACTTTATTTATATTGTTTACATTGATGTTCTGATTTAATTTCATAAGGATCAAAGAATATAGTCTATTAATAATCATTGGCCTGTTTAGATTTGCTTTATTAAAAAATGGTCCATTTTGGAAATGTTTAATTGGTACTTGGAAAAACTGTGTAGGCATACTTCGTTTTTTTCGTTGTTGTTGTTGTTGTTATAAGTTCGAGGGTACATGTGCACAACATGCAGGTTTGTTACATATATATACATGTGCCATGTTGGTGTGCCGCACCCATTAACTCGTCATTTATGTTAGGTGTATCTCCTAATGCTGTCCCTCCCCGCTACCCCCACCCCACGACATGCCCCGGTGTGTGAGGTTCCCCTTCCTGTGAACAAGTGTTCTCATTGTTCAATTCCCACCTATGAGTGAGAACATGTGGTGTTTGGTTTTTTGTCCTTGCGATAGTTTGCTGAGAATGATGGTTTCCAGCTTCATCCATGTCCCTACAAAGGACATGAACTCACCCTTTTTTATGGCTGCATAGTATTTCATGGGGTGTATGTGCCACATTGTCTTAATCCAGTCTATCACTGATGGACATCTGGGTTTGTTCCAAGTCTTTGCTATTGTGAATAGTGCCGCAATAAACATACCCGTGCATATGTCTTTATAGTAGCATGATTTATATTCCTTTGGGTATACACCCAGTAATGGGATGGCTGGGTCAAATGGTATTTCTAGTTCTAGATCCTTGAGGAATCGCCACACTGTCTTTCACAATGGTTGAACTAGTTTACAGTCCCACCAACAGTGTAAAAGTGTTCCTATTTCTCCACATCCTCTCCAGCACCTGTTGTTTCCTGACTTTTTAATGATTGCCATTCTAACTGGTGTGAGATGGTATCTCATTGTGGTTTTGATTTGCATTTTTCTGATGGCCAGTGATGATGAGCATTTTTTCATGTGTCTTTTGGCTGCATAAATGTCTTCTTTTGAGAAGTGTCTGTTCATATCCTTCGCCCATTTGTTGATGGGGTTGTTTTTTTCTTGTAAATTTGTTTGAGTTCTTTGTAGATTCTGGATATTAGCCCTTTGTCAGATGAGTAGATTGCAAAAAATTTTCCTACTCTGCAGGTTGCCTGTTCACTCTGATGGTAGTTTCTTTTGCTGTGTAGAAGCTCTTTAGTTTAATTAGATCCCATTTGTCAATTTTGGCTTTTGTTGCCATTGCTTTTGCTGTTTTAGACATGAAGTCCTTGCCCATGCCTACGTCCTGAATGGTATTGCCTAGGTTTTCTTCTAGGGTTTTTATGGTTTTAGGTCTAATATTTAAGTCTTTAATCCATCTTGACTTACTTTTTGTATATGGTGTAAGGAAGCGATCCAGTTTCAGCCTTCTATATATGGCTAGCCAGTTTTCCCAGCACCATTTATTAAATAGGGAATCCTTTCCCCATTGCTTGTTTTTGTCAGGTTTGCCAAAGATCAGATGGTTGTAGATGTGTGGTATTATTTCTGAGGGTTCTGTTCTGTTCCATTGGTCTATATCTCTGTTTTGGTGCCAGTACCTTGCTGTTTTGGTTACTGTAGCGTTGTAGTATAGTTTGAAGTCAGGTAGTGTGATGCCTCCAGCTTTGTTCTTTTGGCTTAGGATTGTCTTGGCAATGTGGGCTCATTTTTGGCTCCATATGAAGTTTAAAGTAGTTTTTTCCAATTCTGTGAAGACACATTTTGGTAATTCTGACAATACTTTAAGCTTTTTAGCTATTATTACATCTGTTGATATCTGTCACCTGTGATCAGTGATTTTTGATGCTACTGCTGTGTTTTGGGATGCCACAAACCAGGCCCATATAGGGCAATTAACTTAATTGATAAGTGTATGTGTGTTTTCTGACTGTGCCACCAACTGGCTGTTCCTCTGTCTCTTGCCCTCTCCCTGTACCTCTCTGTTCCCTGAGACACAACAATACTGAAATAAGGCCCATCAGCAACCCTACAATAGCCTTTGAGTGTTCAAGTGAAAGGAAGAGCCACACATCTCTCACTTCATATGAAAAGCCAGAAATGACTAAGCTTAGTGAGAACGCATGTCAAAAGCTGAGATGAGGGAAAAGATAGGCCTCTTGTGCCAAATAGTGCAACACATTGTGAATGCAAAGGAAAAGTTCTTGATAGAAATTAAAAGTGCTACTCAAGTGAACACATAAATGGTAAGAAAGTGAAACATCCTTATTGCTGATAGGGACAAAGTTTGAGTGGTCTAGGTAGAAAATTAAACCAGCCATACCATTAAGCTTAGCCAAAAGCCTAATCCAGAGCAAAGTCCTAACTTTCTTAAATTCTGTGAAGGCTGACAGAGGTGAGGAAGCTGCTGAAGAAAAGTCTAAAGCTATCAGAAGTTGGCTTGTGAGGTTTAAGGAAAGAAGTAATCTTCATAACATAAAAGTGCAAGGTGAAGCAGCAATGCTGATGGAAAGGCTGCTGCAAGTGATCCAGAAGATCTAGCTAAGATCATTGATGAAGGCGGCTACGCTAAATGACAGATTTTCAATGCAGACAAAACCGCTTTCTAGGAAAGAAGATGCCATCTAGGATTGTCATAGGTAGAGAGAGGAAGTCAATGCCTGGTGTCAAAGCTTCAAAGGACAAGCTGACTCTCGTGTCAGGGGCTAACGCAGCTGGTGACTTTAAGCTTGAAGCCAGGGCTCATTTCTCATTCTAACAATCTAAGGGTCCTTAAGAATGATGCTAAATCTACTCTGCCTGTGCTCTATAAATGGAACAACAAAGCTTGGATAACAGCACAGCTGTTTATAGCATGGTTTATGATTATTTGAAGCCCACTGTTGAGATCTGTTGCTCAGAAAAAAAAGATTTCTTTTAAAATATTATTGCTTATTGACAGTATACCTGGTCACCCAAGAGCTTTGATGGAGACATACAAGAGGATTAATGCTGTTTTCACGCCTGCTAACAGAACATTCATTTTGCAGCCCACAGATCACAGAAAAATTGACTTCCAAGTCTTACTGTTTAAGAAATACATTTTCTAGGGCTATGGCAGCTATAGCCCTATAAAATGTATTTCTTAAACAATAAGACTTGAAAGTCCTCTGATGGACTTCCAAAGTAAATGAAAACCTTCTGGAAAGGATTTTGCCATTCTAAATGCCATTAAGAACATTTGTGATTCCTGGGAGGAGGTCAAAATAGCAACATTAACAGGGGTTTGGAAGAAGTAGCTTCAAACCCCTCATGGATGATTTTGAAGGGCTCAAGACTTCAGTGGAGGATGTAACTGCAGTTTGTGGTAAAAATAGCAAGAGAACTAGAATTAGAAGTGGAGCATGAAGATGTGACTGAACCTGAAGGGATGAGAAATTGCTTCTTAAGTATTAACAAAAAAAATTGTTCCTTAGATGGAATATACTCCTGTTAAAGATGTTGGGGACATTGTTAAAAATGACAACAAATGATTTAGAGTATTATACAAAAACTTAGTTGATAAAGCAGCAACACAGTTTGAGAGGATTGACTCCAATGTTGAAAGAAATTCTACCGTGGGTAAAATGCTATCTAATAGCATTGCATGTTACAGAGAAATATTTTATGAAAGAGTCAATCATTGCAAACTTCACTGTCTTATTTTAAGAAACTGCCACAGCCATCCCAACCTTCAGCAACCGCCACCCTCATCAATGGGCAGCCATAAACATCAAGGTGAGACCCTCCTCACTAAAGGCTCAGATGACTTGTCAGCATGTTTTAGTAATAAAATATTTTTTAATTAAGTCATGTACATTGTTTTTTAGACAATGCTATTATACACTTAATAGACTACAGTACAGTATAAACATAACTTTTATATGCACTGGTAGGGAAATCAAAAAATTTGTGATTTGCATTACTGTGGCATTTGCTTTGTTGTGGTGGTCTGGAATCAAACCCACAGTATCTCTGAAGTATGCCTGTATATTCCCTAAATCTTGAGTTCAGGGTCCTTTGTATTCACTAGAGCATACTGTAAGTTTGTTGTTTAGTTTAATACTTCTCTCACCATGGTGACAAGATTCACAGTTTATCCTCACAATCGTGTCAATTTTGCTTTATGTATCCTGAAGTTGTGTTATCAGATGCACACAAGTTATAATTCTTCTACTGTATTGCTGTATTCTGAGATTTTGCATTTTTAACAAGTTCCATGTGATGCTAATGTTGCAGTTCTAGGTTCTACACTTTGAGAAGTATTACTTGAGAATAACAGAAGAGAATACACAAGTTTATTAGGAATTGGAGAGATTATCTGTTAAATAACACATCTTGTGACCCCAAATCTTAATCATGTTATTATGGGCCTCATGATCCAGGATGCAGGAATATTCTTGCTCCAAAAATAAAAAAAAAACCCTACTGATAGCACAATACCTTGGGTGTTTGGTTCTTTCTTTTGTTAATATCTTGTTGCCAATATATTTAAAAAAGTCTTTGTTTGTATTTTGCCAAGATAAGATCGTAGATCTTCAAAACGTTTTAGTAGACTTTGTCTCTTCAGCTCATCTGTTTAACCCTAGTACTCAATATATTGCTAAACAACAGATGCTTAATATATGACTCAATGAATACTGCCAAGAAGTCAGAAAGTAAAGATACACTTCATAACCCAGATTTAGAGAATCATAGAAATTGTCCTATCATTCCATTTGTTAACATTCCAACAGACTGTAGGAGAAGCAGACAGATACATTATTCTTTTTGGGCCATTTAATAACATTATTAAAAATTAAGACCTATAAGTTAAGCAGCTGAATGCTTATGTACGATTAATAAAAACATAAAACCATGCAAGAGATTTCACTTCAAACACCTGAAAGTGATTTCTCTAATATTTATTTTCTTTCATTTTTTTTCTTATGAGATGGAGTTTTGCTCATGTTGCCCAGGCTGGAATGCAATGGGGTGATCTCGGGTCTCTGCAAGCTCTGCCTCCTGGGTTCAAGCAATTCTCCTACCTCGGCCTCCCAAGTAGCTGGGATTACAGGCAGCGCCACCACACCCAGCTAATTTTGTATATTTATTAGAGATGGGGTTTCACCATGTTCGTCAGGTTGGTTTCAAACTCCTGACCTCAGGTGATCCACCCACCTCAGCCTCCCAAAGTGCTGGAATTACAGGCATGAGCCACTGCGCCCAACTGGTTTCTCTAATATTTCTGAAACATGCTATAGAATCTGGTGTGGATTTGTGTGTGTGTGCACACGTGCATGTGTGGGCAAATGTACTTTTAAGCAGAAATTGGGAGATTTATAGATAACAGCTTAATTAAAATGTAAATTTCAATAATTTAAATTTTCAATAATTTTGGTTCGTTTGGGAAAGGTATGCCTGAACTACTTCTTTATCTTGTCCAAAGATCCCCTGGAGACTGAAAACTAAGCAAAGAAATTTAGACTACTTTTCTCAGAGGTATTGACTTGGAACAGCATCATCTGTGCAATGCAGGTTCATTAGAAGCAATCATCTTTCCAAGAAAGGGCTCTCTAAGAACAATCAGAAAATCTCATTTTCCTTAGCATGACCTACGAGATCCTTCACCAAGTGGTTCTCACTCATTTTTCCCAGTCTGCCACTTCATCTCATATCCTTTACACTTCAAACACGAAGAACTTTTTCCAACTTGCTACATATACCACACTCTTTCACAATTATGTGCCTTTTTAAAAAATTTTATTTTAAGTTCTGGGACACATGAGTAGAACGTGCAGGTTTGTTACATAGGTATACACGTGCCATGGTAGTTTGCTGCACCTATCAACCCATCATCCAGATTTTAAGCACCGCATGCATTAGGTATTTGTCCCAGTGCTCTCCCTCCCCTTGCCTTTTTTGTGCTCTAGGTTTGGAAGGCATTACTTACTCTTGAAATACTACAATTTTTGAGTCTCTCTTCTTAACTCTAGACAGAGCTAGTTGCTCTTGTCGTACATGCACTTTGGCAGTAGTCCTATCACACTGTAACCTTTTTTTATTATTTTTAAATTTTTATTGTACTTCAAGTTCTAGGGTACATGTGCACAACGTGCAGGTTTGTTACATAGGTATACATGTGCCATGTTGGTTTGCTGCACCCATCAACTCAACATTTACATCAGGTATTTCTCCTAATGCTATCCCTCTCCTAGCCCCCCACCCCACAACAGGCCCCAGTGTGTGATGTTCCCCGTCCTGTGTCCATGTGTTCTCATTGTTCAACTCCCACCTATAAGTGAGAACATCAGGTGTTTGGTTTTCTGTCCTTGCGATAGTTTCCTGAGAATGATGGTTTCCAGCTTCATCCATGTCCCTACAAAGGACATGAACTCCTCCTTTTTTATGGCTGCATAGTATTCCATGGTGTATATGTGCCATATTTTCTTTATCCAGTCTATCATTGATGGACATTTGGGTTGGTTCCAAGTCTTTGCTATTGTGAATAGTGCCGCAATAAACACATGTGTGCATGTGTCTTTATAGCAGCATGATTTATAGTCCTTTGGGTAGATACCTAGTAATGGGATTGCTGGGTCAAATGGTATTTCTAGTTCTAGATCCTTGAGGAATTGCCACACTGTCTTCCACAATGGTTGAACTAATTTACACTCCCACCAACAGTGTAAAAGTGTTCCTATTTCTCCACATCCTCTCCAGCACCTGTTGTTTCCTGACTTTTTAATGATCGCCATTCTAACTGGTGTGAGATGGTATCTCATTGTGGTTTTGATTTGCATTTCTCTGATGGCCAGTGATGATGAGCATTTTTTCATGTGTCTTTTGGCTGCATAAATGTCTTCTTTTGAGAAGTGCCTCTTCATATCCTTCGCCCACTTTTTGATGGGGTTGTTTTTTTCTTATAAATTTGTTGGAGTTCATTGTAGATTCTGGATATTAGCCCTTTGTCAGATGAGTAGATTGCAAAAAATTTTCCTATTCTGTAGGTTGCCTGTCACTCCGATAGTAGTTTCTTTTGCTGTGCAGAAGCTCTTTAGTTTAATTAGATCCCATTTGTCAATTCTGGCTTTTGTTGCCATTGCTTTTGCTGTTTTAGACATGAAGTCCTTGCCCATGCCTATGTCCTGAATGGTAATGCCTAGGTTTTCTTCTAGGGTTTTTATGGTTTTAGGTCTAACATTTAGGTCTTTAATCCATCTTGAATTAATTTTTGTATATGGTGTAAGGAAGTGATCCAGTTTCAGCTTTCTACATATGGCTAGCCAGTTTTCCCAGCACCATTTATTAAATAGGGAATCCTTTCCCCATTGCTTGTTTTTGTCAGGTTTGTCAAAGATCAGATGGTTGTAGATGTGTGGTGTTATTTCTGTGGCCTCTGTTCTGTTCTATTGGTCTATATATCTGTTTTGGTACCAGTATCACGCTGTTTTGGTTACTGTAGCCTTGTATTATAGTTTGAAGTCAGGTAGCATGATACCTCCAGCTTTGTTCTTTTTGCTTAGGATTGTCTTGGCTATGTGGTTTCCTTTTTGGTTCCATATGAACTCTAAAGTAGTTTTTTCCAATTCTGTGAAGAAAGTCATTGGCAGCTTGATGGGGATGGCATTGTATCTATAAATTACCTTGGACAGTGTGGCCATTTTCATGACATTGATTCTTTCTATCCATGAGCATGAAATATTCTTCCACTGGTTTGTGTCCTCTCTTATTTCCTTGAGCAGTGGTTTGTAGTTCTCCTTGAAGAGGTCCTTCACATCCCTTGTAAGTTGGATTCCTAGGTATTTTATTCTCTTTGTAGCAATTGTGAATGGGAGTTCACTCATGATTTGGCTCTCTGTTTGTCTGTTACTGGTGTATAGGAATGCTTGTGATTTTCGCACATTGATTTTGTATCCTGAGACTTTGCTGAAGTTGTTTATCAGCTGAAGGAGATTTTGGGCTGAGATGATGGAGTTTTCTAAATATACAGTCATGTCATCTGTAAACAGGGACAATTTGACTTCCTCTTTTTCTAATTGAATACCCTTTATTTCTTTCTTTTGCCTGATTGCCCTGGCCAGCACTTCCAACACTATGTTGAGTAGGAGTGGTGAGAGAGGGCATCCTTGTCTTGTGCTGGCTTTCAAAGGGAATGCTTCCAGTTTTTGCCCGTTCAGTATGATATTGGCTGTGAGTTTGTCATAAATAGCTCTTATTATTTTATTTTGAGATATGTTCCATCAATACCTAGTGTACTGAGAGTGTTTAGCATGAAGAGCTGTTGAATTTTATTGAAGGCCTTTTCTGCACTATGGAGATAATTATGTGGTTTTTGTCACTGGTTCTGTTTATGTGATGGATTCCGTTTATTGATTTGCATATGTTGAACCAGCCTTGCATCCCAGGGATGAAGCTGACTTGATCATGGTCAATAAGCTTTTTGAGGTGCTGCTGGATTCGGTTTGCCAGTTATACTGTAACCATTTATTTAACATATTTGTTTCTTATTCACATTTGCCTCCTCAAAACTCAGCCCAGTGCCAATGTGTGCTTACTAAATTAACCATTATTAAACCATTTTCAATTTTAGAAAAGGAAATAAAATACTTGTGAGAAAATAAGCTATAATAGGTGAAAACACTTATTCCATCAAAATAGCAAATAGCAAAATATTACTTATTTATACTGATTTCTGGTTACATATAACACACTACCCCGGGAATTTGGTAGGATAGTATATTCTTCAGATCCCCATCCAAAGGTTTTTTTTTTTGTGTGTGTGTACATCTATAAAAAGAATTGGAAGACGTTTCTTCAATATGGCCTCTTCTATAGAATTATCTATTAATCTAGCCATAAAATGAATTACTATGAGGTATTATAGCAGAGATATTTAAAGAATGGATTCTGAAGCCAGACTGTCTCGGTTTGAATCCTGGCTCTATCCATTACTAGCTATGAGATCTGCAACAAGTATCTTAATCTCTCTGTGTCTTAGTTAACTCATCTGAAATTGTATTGATAATAATACTTCCATCATAAGCCACAGGGTTATTGTAAAAGTTGAATGAGTTCATATATGCCAACCACTCACAATAGTATTATAGCCCAGGGTAGCATATTGTATTTATATAAAATATACAATATTATCTATATACCTTTATAGATATTAGCTTTTAAATATAGTAATTATTGTTTAAAATGCATGTGTCTGTTCTATTTATGATATAATTTGTACACTTAAAAAATCAATGTACAAATTTCTAGTAATGAATCCTTTTCTTACAACAAAATTTCATTTAGGGAAATATGTACTAAGTATATGTAAAGTGGTTTCTCCAATATTTCCGAGAAATTGTATAGAATCTGGTGTGTATATATGTATGTGTGCATGCATGCACGTGTGGGCACATGTACTTTTAAGCAGACTACTGCTGAATCTTTTTCACTTTATAATTTGAGAAGATATATATATATATTTTTAAAGTTTCTGGAGATGCTGTGTCACAACTACAAATTTAGCTCTGTAGTTCATACTTGCTTTATCTACACTCATAATATTCAACAACACTAATTGTTGCTCCATGATGCATTGCCCTATTATCTCAGTCCACATTAATTCCTCCTCTTAGGTCTGAGAAAACTGTATTTTTCTACTATAGCCAATTGAACAAGTGTCTTTCTTCCCCACTAGACTGCCAACTACTTGAGGTCCGATATCTTACTGATTTTAGCATAGTGTCATATCAGACATGGCTCATTAGCTCCTCGATAAATGTTTATTGAACTAAAGTAAAAATTAACTCACAAAATGATGACTCTGAGGAATGTTAATACATTAAAGATTTAATTCTGTTCATGTTACTTAAATGTTTTAGAAACATTTAAGACAAGAAAGGACATTCTGAGATTTATCAGTGTCTCAAAAAATTACATTAATTAGTACATTCCATTCTAGCCATATGAATATTAATATTCAGATATAAAATCTGGCATAACTCCTCAAAACTTCTCTTTTTAAGATATATGTGTGGATATATAAAACACACATCTTCTAGTTAAAAGAAGTTAAAACCTCATCTTCTAGTTAAAAGATGTATGTTTTAACTAGAAGATGTACGTTTTATATATCTGCACTCATGTATAAACATGCTTATCTACAATTTTCTAAGCGTAAAGTCTTCCCTTACTAAAAAATTCATTTAGGGTATAATTCAATATTAAAAATTAGAAATATATACTTTCAAAGTGAAAGTAAATATATACCTTTAAATTATATATCTTTATCTTTATAGCACATATATTTATATCTATATCTTTATAGCACATATTTAAGAGCAGTAAATCTTATGAATTTTCAGAGTAATCATATGTCAAATCAAATAAAAATCTTCAGAACTATAGTTACAGCCACCACAAGTCCTATATTTCCTCATACACAACAAATTTAGATACATAAGGAACAATTTTCTCCTACTGGATAAATTATTTTTTCTATTTTTTTACATTAGGTACTTTTTATTACATCAACATAAAACAATGACACTGACAATAGTATTATTTTATCTTGTGTCAGCATTCTGAAAGCATGACCTTGAAATTTAATATTATTAAAAATTAAGACCTACAAGTTAAGCAGCAGAATGCTTGTGTAGTATTAATTAAAAAAAATGCAAGAGATTTCACTTCAAACACTTGAAACACAAATTTTAAAAAAATAGATAAATAGAAGCTTTAACACAGTGTTCTTTCAAACTACAAATCAGTCAGTCTAGCATTACACAACATTACTATTTTCATTTCAAAGCATAAGTGTGGCACAAGTTATTTTACCAATATTTTTGATTTATGATAAAAGAAAACCTCATTAAATAAAAAACACTTAATGAGTTTGAGATCCTTAAAATATTTTGTACAGTCTTCAATCTAATTTCATCCCATCTCTTTTCAGTACTTTGAATGTTACTCCAGAATGTACTTTCATTTGGTAAAATCTTGTATTTACAACTGGAAGAGCATAATTAAAAACTTTACCCCCATGTGATGTCTTTTGTTCAAGGCAATGCCTTCAGAATTGAGCATAAGTATTCATATTTTTACTAATAATATTTCAGTCTTCAAAAATTTACCAAAATATGATGAAAAGTCAATGTTAGTGGGGTTAGAGCTTTCTTTTTTTCTTTTGTGAATTTCTTACAGGTGTAATGAGCAGGAGCTAAGTGTAACACACATTGCAAGTTGGGTATAGTGTGGTAAATATACAGCACCCGAGTTTCGCTAGGTGGCGCAAAAAGAATAATGTATCTGTCTGCTTCTTCTGTCTGTTGGAATGTTAACAAATGGAATGACAGAGGACAAAGTACCCAATATCGGTGTTTGTAGAATTCTTATCCAAACTAGAATGTTTCTTAATCTATTTTTACTAGAATATAATTCCTTTATAATAAAATAATTTTTAGCACAAAGTAAACTTCAGCACGATGAATAGCTTTCCATTTTTTTTCACTGGATATTTTGAACACTAAAACAGAAAATGTCAGGCTTTTTTGGGAAGACACTGTAAATAAAGAATTAGAAAAATTGACATTACCTTACTGAAACCCTACCTAAAAGCATCACCTAATGTATAAGTGAAAATTGCTAGCAAATTACTTCTTACAGCTATAAAAGAATATGTGAATTTTATAATTTATAACATTTTGGAAGTTCTCATATGAAGATTTTTAAACATCACAGAGTAGAGCTGAAAGGGAATGGCCTCGGAATCGGGAAAACTGGATTTTAGTTTTAGCATAGCAGTGATCTAATTGTGATCTGAGCTGCTATTTCTTAAATAGTCAACTAAGAGCTGGATTTGATTAGTTTTAACGTCTTTGGAGTTTCAAAAAATCATTCTAGACTCTCTAAGAATGAGTGACAATATTATTCTGCCAAGAGATAACTTTATTTTATTTAACATTTTTCAGAGAATAAAGTTTAAATATATATTCTGCTTTAATAGGGGTCAAAACAAAGATTAAAATTTGAATAATCTTAGCAGATATTACAACCAACATTAAGTGGAAAATACAATTAAGATCAGCAATCCATCTAACAAAAATTATGTCTAGAGATATATTTGTTCTTCTCTTTCTAGATAGGATGATTTTTAGAATTGTTTTTAGATATTTGGACAGATTTTAGATAGATTTAACTTTCAAACCATTATTATTCAATCTGGGCTTTATAAATGTAGTTCTCTATCTGCAATACACTCAGAGCTTCCCAACTATTTAGCTACTACTAAGTAATATGTGTGCTAAAATATCATCCTCTCAGCCCTCCAGACAACCAGGCAGGGTCTGAGGTGGCTGGAGTTTGAGAGCAGTAGCCTTTGGCCAAGAGCAGCCTCACCAGTTTAACCTGGTGTACCAACGAAATATATCCTTTTGCATTTCATGACATGAGAAAGATTGAGAAGCATTGTACTGTAGCATCTCTGTATTACCTTATTTTTGCCTCTAATAACTTACTTGGGGAGACCTTTGGAAAAATAAAAATGACTCACTTTCTCCAAAGTAACCTGGAGAATTTCAAGTTTTCAATAATTGCACAATTTCTGGCTGAAATTAATTTCACAAAACAATATAAATACTGATGACTAATAATTCAGAGTATTTTGCCACAAGAAAAAATACGTATAGTTTCTGTGTTAAATAAGCTAATTTATCTAAAACCTATTTAATAGTAAGCAAGCACAGCATTACGTGATGTTATATAGTATGTTCTTGGCTCATCAATTTTAACACTGAATGAAATTGCTACTGATTTTTTAAGTGATCTTTTTTCTCTGTTTTAATATAGAGGACTAAATATAACTTATAAGGAAAAAGGTATATAACAATTTCAAGTGTTATTAAATTAACTTACGAAGCATCACATGAACATATAATTATCTAAGTTGAATTTCTGTTGTTAGTTTGAAAATATATTTTGTAAGTAACTATAGTATATATACATAGACTCACTCTGTGTGTGTATATATATATAGTATTTCTAGATAAATGTCTTCATTTTATTCATAAGATGAAGGCTACAAATGATGTCAATGCTACAAATTATGTAAAGGATATAATGCCTGATATTATGAGAAATATGTGACATGCAATATGCAATATTTTAGGCTAGTTTATATTTCATGGATAGTACTAAATTTAGAAACAGTATGTGAATGAAATTTGTTAATCTAAAATCTTCATAAAAAGTCTCAGTTCTTTCAAAACTACGAAAGCTAACCTCAATTCAAAATGAGTTAAATATTAAACAAACTTCTCCAGAGGAAGAGACTGCAGATAGCTTTGTCAGTGTTATCAGTGAGATTAACATTCTAGTCATAGATTTTTGAGGAAAAAAAATAGTACACCAAGGAGGGACAATGGCTGCCAGGAAGCAAAGGTAAAAATCGACAGATAAAATTCAGTAATAGCAATCAGTGCAAAACTCCCCATAGACTCTCTTATGTCCTGGTTACTGCCTACTGTATTAAGACTGCCTTTCTCATCACTTAATGCTTATTTTCATCACTTTGCTTAAAATATTGATAATCAATTAGAGCTACGTCTGTTTTGCCACAGAATCTGTGTCACAGTCTATCAGACTGTCAGGGCCAATTCAATCCTCATTCAAAGTTAATTTTTTCTTCATAAATCTGCCTTTGGAGGAGTCATTAGGCGCAGAACATAGCCGGAGGTGCAATCACCTATTCTCTTTCATTAGTGGCAGGCAGAGAAGGTGAGGGAGATTATTAGAACTTTGGAATGATCACAAAGCAGCGTGCTGCCTGTCAGATCCCCCCAACATTTAATTCATCTAGCCAACTCACCAGCACTCTTTGCCAACAGTTTTAAATGGACATTATTCATGAACATCTGTGACATGCTGAATATTCTGAACTGGAAATGATGAAAAAGCAATGCCCCTTTTGACTTTAAAATTAATTCTATGGTCAAAACAATTAAGTATATAACAAACATGTTTTGTGATGTTATTTTTGGTCATCTAAGATATATTTCAGAGGCAAAACAATTTACTTAAGTTATAACACAAATGTATAAGGGGAAATTAATGCCTAAAAATCAACATTCTCAGTATTAAACAATTTAGAAAATCCTATTTTACCTACATTAGGAATGACCAGAATTTCTCCCCAAAGAGGTATTTAAAATTCACAATATTTAAATATTTATTTAATGTGAAATCTTGTTAAGCAACATACCACAAAATGAAATAACTCAAAAGGATTTAATATAGGACCAATTAAATAAAAAATATTCTATTTGAAATTTTCATTGCCACCACTTTTTTTAGTACTACACGTCTTCATTATAAGCAGTGTATTGTGGTAAAGTTAATAGAGAAACTTAGTCTAATTTTAAAAATAGGCAGAATAAATGAAAAGAAAACTTTCTAAATAACTTATTTTCATTTTAAAATCTACCATTAATTTTTTCAAAAAAAGAAAATCTGGGTTGTTTCAAATGCTTTGTTCTTTGAGTGTGCTGCCTTTTATTATTTGGAATAGAAAATTTATGTTAGCTGTTAAGATGGAGATTACAGAGGTTCCTTGTTAGATCTAATTTTGTGGAGATTTATCTTTAAGTTATTTAAACATTTACTCAGAATACCAAGCTGATGACATCAAGATTTTAAATGCTATTATCAAAACCACAGTGTTCTAGCAATGTAAAACAATTATTAAAGATTAGCTTCAGGAAATAGCTGTACCAGTATTTCCCAAACTGTTCCACACAATGAGGTGCTAAAAGGGTTTTGTGGTCAAATATATTTGGAAAATACTTAGTTGGACAAAATTAAGCTATTTCTTTACTGTACAACTCATCAGAATCTACAATATGCTAATGTGTCTTGTGACTCTTTAAAAGGGAAATAAAATATGGTGACTCTCAAACTTACTTGACTATAGAACCATTTTTTGATACCACCAAAATAGCAACAAAGAGTTTTCCTAACCTTTTCAGGTTAACAATTCCTCTTCAGTCCACACTGGATGTGATATTTTACATCTTGTTAATTCAAAAAATATTGGTTAAGCACATACTATATACTGTACCAGGTACTGTGGTAGGTAATACAGTTATAATAGTGAATGAAACATGATCTCAATATGCTCATAGTGTGGTACAGAAAAGAGTTTATTTGTAGTTTGTCTTCCCACTGTGAGTCCTTTGAGAATGAAGAGGGTATCTTATTCATATCTGTATTTCCCTATTGCCTAGCAACAGGTAAGCAGTAGAATTTCAAGAAATACTTGTTAAACATACGCAGAATTTTCTTTCTCTTAGATGGTTCCAATGACTTCACATTAGTCTGGACACCAGTTTCCCCTTTCTTTCCTTTTTCTGAGGTTAGTACCCACCTTAACCAATAATTTATATTAGGTACATTATGTAATAGGTAGCCAGAGAGCAGCTAACTTTTAAAGAAAAACACAAATATAAGGCAAAACTGGCAGATCAGCTCCAGTCGAATGCTAGTGGCTGCCTGGAGCTCTTCGTTGACAAAGATTCTGCTGTCCTTCTGAGCTCTGGGGAAACTGTATCACAAGTTAAAGATGACTGCCATCGCTGCTTTGAAAGTTTTTCCATTTTGGAAAGATAAATGATGCAAAAAAGTTTAAATAACAATAGCCACTACCACTGTCACTGCTATTGCTACTACAGCTACTGCCACCACCATCACCATTACCACTACTATCACAAGTGCAAGAAACAGAAATTTCCTGGTTATTTTATTTTATTTTATTTTATTTTATTTTTTTTGTGTGTGTGGTTTTTATGATTATTGTGTTAAAAATACTTAGCATGAGATCTACCTTCTTAAAATTTTAAAGCTACAAGTCATTATTGTTTACTATAGGTACCATGCCTTACAGCAGATCTCTAGAGTTTATTCATCTTGTTTGACTAAAGCTATTAATATATGCCCTTTGATTACCAATTTCCTATTTCCCACTCCCCACAGAACCCGGTAACCACCATTTCACTCCTCGATTCTACGAATTTGACTATTTTACCCATCTCATATAAGTGGAATCATGCAGTGTTCGTCTTTCTGTGACAGACATTTCAGTTGGCATAATGTCCTCAAGTTTCATCCATGTTATTGGCAGATTGGCACAATTTCCTTCATTTTCAGGTTGGATACTATTCTATTGTATTTATTTTTGTTGTTTTTTTTTAAGATCACTTAAGCATATACATATATGCACACACATATATAGATTCCAGACACATTAAAAGTTACTATATATTTTTAGATAAAATAGCTGAATTTTGATTCCCCATGAAAAGACAGCATTATATTTTGATCCATTGAAGAGACACAAATGTTTATATGAGAAATATTTCAAATTACTTTTCATAGACTATATAAAAGAGGTATAAAATACAAGACATGTATACACACGCATACATAAATTTTGCTATTGCTTTTACTATAACTGAAATCATATCCATAGATTTTATGTACTTTGTTTTTCACACTCCAAAACGTATCATGGAAATCTCTCCAGGTTAACTGACGGAGAGTTAATTTATTATTTGTTAACAGCAGCATAATATTTCATAGTGTAAATGCCCTAATGTGTATATCATTTTCCTATTGGTCAGGCTTTCTCTTTAATTCAAACATTTTTTTAAACAAAAGTGGATTAAACACCAGAAATTGGATGAATAATAAAATTATTAGAAGGGCTGAAAGTACCAGCTCTGGGCTGTGCCTCTAATAATGATGCCTAAATCAACACTGCAGAACTAGCTTGCTAGGGCGCTGCTCCCTCTACCTCTCAGGGCGGTGAGAAATCAGGAGGCTGCCATTTGAACTGAGAAGTTCAAGAATAACCTGCTACAGCTGCAAATCAAGAAGCTACTAGTGCACCTGCCTTTCGACCTGCATAAAGCTAGTGGCTAGATGTTTGGCACACTGCTAGAGAAATACCTCAGGTCTCCATAGCTGTGCTCGCTAGTAGCAACAGCTGAAGCAGCAAGTAGATAGCCTACCACACCACTTCCATTTTCAAAATTCCATGTGGAAAAAAACTGCATGTGAATACACATAACTGGTGGGACCTAACTCATATCCAGAATTTTAGATACAAAAGATTATCAAACATGTAGATTTTTGCTTTCTAGCCTTTGCCACACAGGGAGGCAGACTAGGTTATAATACACGTTATGTGCCAATTCGCAGTCCACTAAAATAATCAGCCTTTATTATATACCCTTTATATGTGCCAGACATCTTTCTAAACATTTTACATGTATTAACTGATTCAATGAATGATTTAATATGGTTCTCTATGGTTTTTCATACTCATTTTACAGTTAAGAAAACTGAGGCACAGAGGGGTTTAACAATTGCTCAGGGTCACAAAATTATTAAGTGACCTTAGGGCCAGGATGCAGAGTCAGGTTGTTCAGCTCCAGAACGGTTCTGCTCTTCACCAGCATTCTGTTTCCTAAGAGTAGTGCCCTCATCCCTTTAATAGATTAACAATGAGGATAAAATTATTTTCTATTCAGTTTTTCTTACCGTATTGAACAAACTGATATGCATTATCCCTTAAAATCTGTATAATGGTGGTGTTTCAAAGAAATCAGTAGGCTAACTATGGCTAAAACAATCTGGCTGGAGGTGTATTAGACTTATCTATATGCAATACTGAGAGTAGAGGCTTGACTCCTTTCCTAGAGGGAAGGAGAACAAACAATATTACCATTCTGGTTGGAGGTGGGGGTGGAAGTAAGACTTAAAATATAATGTTCCAAATGGGAGATGATGTTACATGCTTTCCTATCTGTGGTTTCATAGACAGAAATATAGCAGTATATCTCAAGAACCAAAAATAGTTGCTACTCTTTGATACAACAGTTTCAAATAATGTAAATCAAAGAAACAAATTTAAAATGAAAAAAGTATGCATGAAGATAGTCATTGAACATTATTTTAATAGAAAAAAGCAATAATATAAATACTCAACAATAGGCAAGTGGTTGATGTTATACTGCCTGGACAAATATTATGTAGTCAATAGAATTATGTTATCTAAAATTCTGTAACAAATTGGAAAGGTGATTCTGATAGAAAACTAGATGCAAAAAAGCAGAATAAAAATAAATTTATGTGATATAAACATATGAATAAGGAAAAAGAAATACACTAAGAAATGCCAGTAAAAAATTCATATACACTAAATTTCCATATATAATTTGGTCTCTTTCTGAACTCTCTAGTACATATTACTGATCTAACTGGTGATTTCTGTACCAATTAACAAATACATTAAAAAATTTGGTCAAGCGAAATCAATCTGATTATTATACTTAAGGTTTTTTGGCTATACTTATATAATTATCCTTCTACATAAACTTTAGGATTATTTTTATGTATTTCCCTACACAAACACAAATAAAGCCACACCTACAAATAAGCAATATAATCCTGTTGGGATTTTGAATAACTGCGTTAAAGTAATGCATACATTTGGAGAAAATAGAAATCTTCACAATATTGAATCTTCCCATCTAAAAACACACTACATGTTTTCATTAATTCAAATAATTTGTATCTTTCAGTAAAGTTTGGTAGTTGCTTTCATCTAGGTGGTGATACTTCAGTCTAGCCTCCTTTCCTTTTTTTTTGGTTGGTTGGCTATCATTTATTATTTCTATGATTCCAGCTTAATAAGGGCTGCATTGTGTAGGAATAGCCTGTTCTACACAGGCAAGAAGTATCTCTAAGTCATACGTGCCCTACTGAGCCTGTCTCAGGAAAAAGTCTGATTGCAGAGGGAGTGAACCACTATCCTAAGAAAAGCAAACCAACCATGCTAATAAAGTATCTCTTTTATTCATAACTTCCCTAGGGGCTAAGGACAAGTCTAATGAATCTGCTTATTGGGGAACAGAACCAACTGACTAGTCTCAACCTTTGATAAATTAGATTTTCAAAGAGTTCATCAAAAAAGCTTAAAGCCGGCTAGGCTAACCCCCATTCCTTTTTGGCTCCCTTCTTTAAACACAATTTTTTTAGAACATTATCTAAACACTGTCTCACTTCTCCAGCACTCATTCATTCTTCAGTTCATTTCGGTATGGCTTCTAACTTGATCACTGAACCAAAACTGCTTTTCCACGACTTCTATCTCACTATATTCATTGGATCTTTTCAATTTTTTTTAAAAAGGATATTTCAAACATACTAAAAACATAAAGAATACTATAATACCACGCAAATTAATAGCTGTTAAAATTTCATCATACTTCTGTTTCATATTCTTATTATCATCTGGTAGTGTTGGACTTTTTGATTTTTGGCAGTCTGGTTGATCTCAAATGGCATCTTTTTAAAATACATGCGGTTCCCAAAGAGGCTGTGTATCTCCTTAAAAACTGACCACTAGAGTTACTCTCCCCAGAATTTCTATGATCCTTAGCCCATTTTCCTCTAAGATTTTTTTTTTCTTACTGATTTGCAGGGTTTAAAAGACTACTTTATATATTCCAGATATTAATATTTTGTCAGTTATATACATTGAAACTATGTTCTCCCAGTATGTGTTATATCTTTTGACTTTGTTTATTTTGCCTTTCATCAAGATGTCTAATTTTATAATATTTTAAATGGGTATTTTTAAATACTTTGTCTTGTTTAAGAAATCCTTCCCTATCCCTAGATCACAAATCTATTCTCCTACATTTTCTTCTAAAAGTTTGAAAATTTCACTTTTTAATATCTAAGCCTTTTGAAATTTCCATATGAACAATAAATTCTTTTAACACTATCATTTAGAAAAATCCATCTTCCCTCACTTATATGTAATAACAAGTCCTCATACATGTGTGGTGCTGTTTTTGGATGTTCTATTGCTTCCTATTGATGACACCATTTTAATTACTATAGTTTTTTCATAGAATCTTATTATCTGGTAGGATAAATCTCCACCGCTCCTCTTTCTTCTCATTCGAAGTTGTCTTGATTAAACTTGGCAATTTGCTATTCAATATGAATTTTTAAAATTAAACTTCTAAATTATTTAACTATCCTAAATATATGCACCCAATAAAGGAGCACCCAGATTCATAAAGCAAGTCCTGAGTGACCTACAAAGAGACTTAGACTCCCACACATTAATAATGGGAGACTTTAACACCCCACTGTCAACATTAGACAGATCAACGAGACAGAAAGTCAACAAGGATACCCAGGAATTGAACTCAGCTCTGCACCAAGCGGACCTAATAGACATCTACAGAACTCTCCATCCCAAATCAACAGAATATACATTTTTTTCAGCACCACACCACATCTACTATTCCAAAATTGAACACATACTTGGAATTAAAGCTCTCCTCAGCAAATGTAAAAGAACAGAAATTATAACAAACTATCTCTCAGACCACAGTGCAATCAAACTAGAACTCAGGATTACGAAACTCACTCAAAACTGTTCAACTACATGGAAACTGAACAACCTGCTCCTGAATGACTACTGGGTACATAACGAAATGAAGGCAGAAATAAAGATGTTCTTTGAAATCAACGAGAACAAAGACACAATATACCACAATCTCTGGGACACATTCAAAGCAGTGTGTAGAGGGAAATTTATAGCACTAAATGCCCACAAGACAAAGCAGGAAAAATCCAAAATTGACACCCTAACATCACAATTAAAAGAACTAGAAAAGCAAGAGCAAACACATTCAAAAGCTAGCAGAAGGCAAGAAATAACTAAAATCAGAGCAGAACTGAAGGAAATAGAGACACAAAAAACCCTTCAAAAAATTAACGAATCCAGGAGCTGGTTTTTTGAAAGGATCAACAAAATTGATAGACCGCTAGCAAGACTAATAAAGAAAAAAAGAGAGAAGAATCAAATAGACGCAATAAAAAATGATAAAGGGGATATCACCACCGATCCCACAGAAATACAAACTACCATCAGAGAATACTACAAACACGTCTACGCAAATAAACTAGAAAATCTAGAAGAAATGGATAAATTCCTTGACACATACACTCTCCCAAGACTAAGCCAGGAAGAAGTTGAATCTCTGAATAGACCAATAACAGGAGCTGAAATTGTGGCAATAATCAATAGCTTACCCACCAAAAAGGGTCCAGGACCAGATGGATTCACAGCCGAATTCTACCAGAGGTACAAGGAGGAACTGGTACCATTCCTTCTGAAACTATTCCAATCAATAGAAAAAGAGGGAATCCTCCCTAACTCATTTTATGAGGCCAGCATCATCCTGATACCAAAGCCGGGCAGAGACACAACCAAAAAAGAGAATTTTAGACCAATATCCTTGATGAACATTGATGCAAAAATCCTCAATAAAATACTGGCAAACCGAATCCAGCAGCACATCAAAAAGCTTATCCACCATGATCAAGTGGGCTTCATCCCTGGGATGCAAGGCTGGTTCAACATATGCAAATCAATAAATGTAATCCAGCATATAAACAGAACCAAAGACAAAAACCACATGTTTATCTCAATAGATGCAGAAAAGGCCTTTGACAAAATTCAACAACCCTTCATGCTAAAAACTCTCAATAAATTAGGTATTGATGGGACGTATCTCAAAATAATAAGAGCTACCTATGACAAACCCACAGCCAGTATCATACTGAATGGGCAAAAACTGGAAGCATTCCCTTTGAAAACTGGCACAAGACAGGGATGCCCTCTCTCACCACTCCTACTCCTATTCAACATAGTGTTGGAAGTTCTGGCCAGGGCAATTAGGCAGGAGAAGGAAATAAAGGGTATTCAATTAGGAAAAGAGGAAGTCAAATTGTCCCTGTTTGCAGACGACATGATTGTATATCTAGAAAACCCCATTGTCTCAGCCCAAAATATCCTTAAGCTGATAAGCAACTTCAGCAAAGTCTCAGGATACAAAATCAATGTACAAAAATCACAAGCATTCTTATACACCAATAACAGACAGAGAGCCAAATCATGAGTGAACTCCCATTCACAATTGCTTCAAAGAGAATAAAATACCTAGGAATCCAACTTACAAGGGATGTGAAGGACCTCTTCAAGGAGAACTACAAACCACTGCTCAACGAAATAAAAGAGGATACAACAAATGAAAGAACATTCCATGCTCATTGGTAGGAAGAATCAATATCGTGAAAATGGCCATACTGCCCAAGGTAATTTACAGATTCAATGCCATCCCCATCAAGCTACCAATGCCTTTCTTCACAGAATTGGAAAAAACTACTTTAAAGTTCATTTGGAACCAAAAAAGAGCCCGCATCGCCAAGTCAATCCTGAGCCAAAGAACAAAGCTGGAGGCATCCACACTACCTGACTTCAAACTATACTACAAGGCTACAGTAACCAAAACAGCATGGTACTGGTACCAAAACAGAGATATAGATCAATGGAACAGAACAGAGCCCTCAGAAATAACACCGCATATCTACAACTATCTGATCTTTGACAAACCTGAGAAAAATAAGCAATGGGGAAAGGATTCCCTATTTAATAAATGGTGCTGGGAAAACTGGCTAGCCATATGTAGAAAGCTGAAACTGGATCCCTTCCTTACACCTTATACAAAAATCAATTCAAGATAGATTAAAGACTTAAACGTTAGACCTAAAACCATAAAAACCCTCGAAGAAAACCTAGGCATTACCATTCAGGACATAGGCATGGGCAAGGACTTCATGTCTAAAACACCAAAAGCAATGGCAACAAAAGCCAAAATTGACAAATGGGATCTCATTAAACTAAAGAGCTTCTGCACAGCAAAGGAAACTACCATCAGAGTGAACAGGCAACTTACAGAATGGGAGAAAATTTTTGCAACCTACTCATCTGACAAAGGGCTAATATCCAGAATCTACAATGACCTCCAACAAATTTACAAGAAAAAACCAAACAACCCCATCAAAAAGTGGGCGAAGGACATGAACAGACACTTCTCAAAAGAAGACATTTATGCAGCCAAAAAACACATGAAAAAATGCTCACCATCACTGGCCATCAGAGAAACGCAAATCAAAACCACAATGAGATACCATCTCACACCAGTTAGAATGGCAATCATTAAAAAGTCAGGAAACAACAGGTGCTGGAGAGCATGTGGAGAAATAGGAACACTTTTACACTGTTGGTGGGACTGTAAACTAGTTCAACCATTGTGGAAGTCAGTGTGGCGATTCCTCAGGGATCTAGAACTAGAAATACCATTTGACCCAGCCATCCCATTACTGGGTATATACCCAAAGGACGATAAATCATGCTGCTATAAAGACACATGCACACGTATGTTTATTGCAGCATTATTCACAATAGCAAAGACTTGGAACCAACCCAAATGTCCAACAATGATAGACTGGATTAAGAAAATGTGGCACATATACACCATGGAATACGATGCAGCCATAAAAAATGATGAGTTCACGTCCTTTGTAGGGACATGGATGAAATTGGAAATCATCATTCTCAGTAAACTATCACAAGAACAAAAAACCAAACACCGCATATTCTCACTCATAGGTGGGAATTGAACAATGAGAACACATGGACACAGGAAGGGGAACATCACACTCTGGTGACTGTTGTGGGGTGGGGGGAGGGGGGAGGGATAGCATTGGGAGATATACCTAATGCTAGATGATGAGTTAGTGGGTGCAGCGCACCAGCATGGCACATGTATACATATGTAACTAACCTGCACATTGTGCACATGTACCCTAAAACTTAAAGTATAATAATAATAATAATAATAAAAAAGAAAAACTGAAACTTCTCCCGACTTAGTTTATATACATCAAATAAAATCAATTTCTGATGAAAACCAAACATATGTATCATCAAAAAAGCTTCTATTATGAGGGTAGGAATGGATAGGGATGAATAACATTTAATAATGTCTGAACCACACAGCAAAAGCTCAGTTGTTTTCAAAGTTACTTAGCTATGAATTTTTCTAAGAAAAATTTGCAAAATGACCTATAAACTCTGCCATTTGTTGTTTATGATGGTAAGGTCTGTGGGCAGGCAAGGAAGTTTTAAAATTCGGGTCCAATTGCATGCCTAAGCATTTTTCATCCTATTGTGTTTGTACATGATGGTTTCTATTTCTTCTTTTATGCCTTGAATCATTTTAACATATTTATTTTATAGTTTCATTAAGAATATTCTATTATCTCAAATTCTCTGGGTGCCCATTTTTTCTGTTTGTATCATTTCACCTTCTCACAACCATTAATCCTGAATTTTATCCATTCTACATCTAACATATAAAATATTTTCATCAGTCCACTTATTTCCATCTTTACTGCCACTACCCTAGTCCATCAGAATCTTTCACTTTAATTACTGCAATGATCTTACTAGCCTTCCTAAAATTAGTTTTGTGATAACCTCATTCCCACTACCACTACCATAACATTTACCATCACCATCAAATCTATTCTTCTTAGGCAGGTGGATCTCAAAGAATGACTTCTAATCATGCCACAACCTACAATAGTTTTTGACTTAGGATAAAAAGCAAAACCTCAAAATTATCATGGCTTATAAGGCCACGAATCACCTATTCTTTGCCTATCTTCTTAACAGCTCCATCCAGACCATTCTCGATCATCTTACTCCTTATGAGTCAATCCATACTGATCTTCTTTGTTCTGAAAATGTACCAAGGTTCTAATATGACTAACTTGTCTCAGCTTGCCTGGGACTTCCCTGATTTCAACACTGAAAGTCTAACATCTTGGGAAAACCCCTTTACTCCCAGGCAAAATGGACTTAAATTGTTGAACAGAAGAAAAAAAACGAATGAATATTTGGCCTTGTCTGTTATATGCTCTCATTACTTGATCCTTTTGCTTCACTGCACATATCAGAATTATTATTACATTCTTAGTTGAACAAATAACCATCTTCTGTTTACTTTCTCCACCAGAATGTACATTCCATGAGGGCAGGCACCCTTGACTGTCTCCTAGCATCTAACAGAGTTGTCTGCATATAGAAAGTGCTCAATAAATATTTTAAATTACCAATAAAGTTTGTTTTAGCTATTTTATATTTTTGTTGTTATTCTGAATGACATTTCCATTGTACTTTATAATAGATAATTTAGAGATATAAAAACCTATTAATTTGTATATTTTGTATTTTTAAGAAAATTAGGAATTTCATTTATATTGGTTTCGTGCATTTAGAGAGTCATAAACTCTCACGATATAAAAAGGATCTTAGAGACCATCTAGTTGATTTCTCTCATTTTTACAGATGAGAAAATCTGAAACTCAGACAGGTTAAGTGACTTCTTCAAAGTGACACAGCTAATTAGTGGCAGAACCGGTCCAGGAACCAAGACCTATTTCTCTCAGAATAGTAATCTTCTCACATTGCTAATCAGAGATCATAGTTCCTTAGGCTACCAAACTGTTGTAGGGTTCTGACTTAGATTCTTGTCTGTTTAGCTAATTTACTGTGTCTCAAGGCAAGCCACTGTAAATCTTTTCATGAGCTTTACTACTTTCAACCAAATTTGTTTCCTTATTCATTAAGAGTGCCACACTTAACCCTCTAACTGGAGGGCAGAGTTCGGGTTTATTTTGCTTACCTATCTTTACTTACCAGTACAATGCTTGGTAAATGGGAGATAACATTTGTTGAGGTAATTTGTGACTAAGTGTGCTACCCTGTGAGCACACCTGCCAAAATGTGATACCACACAGGTGAAGCAACGCAGGTAGTCTTCAAACTTTTTTGTAGGATGAGGCTTTTGTGAGCCTGCCTATGAGGAGGGTAAAAGGAGGAAGTGGGGGGAGAGAGCAGTGAGGGAGAGAGGGAGGAGTGGAGGGAGGCAGAGGAAGAGAATGAACAAATGTATGTGTTTGAGTTAGTGAATAACTCTGACCTATTTCAAAGGACTGTTAATGTAGGAAAAGTTACAGTAAGACTGAGTGTTAATATCAAGTGCTGTACTTTGAGTGTGTTGCATTAGCCTCTTTTTTTTTTTTTTTGCTAGATTTAAAGTGTCTATTACATGTATGCTGTATATCTCTGAGTTTTTAGAATAAAAAAAGTCTATCCTGTGAGGGGACAGGTACTACAATAAAGTGTTATGTGTGCAAATCTATAAAGGTGGCACAAAAGTAGGGCACATAATTACCTGTTCTACCTATGTATGAGGCATGTACACATCCAAACAGCAAGGTAATTGCTTCAAATCTTCAATAAAATAAAAATCATCAATCACATGATTTTAGAGTTTGAAAATGACTTCTACAAACCTTATTGTCATTAGGTTAAGTGTTCTGCTTAGATTATTCAACTTGGATCAACATTACAACTCAGGGCACTCTCTCAATGAACAAAAACAGAACTCAAGTTTCTGGTTGCAAATAAACTGTCACCTATGACAATGAAGACAATTATTTGCTTCAGTTATCCCCACAAATGGCCACTCTCTATTTGTGGATGCTATGACCATATCTGAGAGTTAGAGCATCAGTTTTTCCATCTGATGGAGAAAAAAAGATGCCTGAGGTCACAGCCATAAGTACTAATCAGGAAGACCCTGGTATCTCACACTAACTTCATGAGAAATCTTTGTGGAAGTCTACATGTGAAGTATTTCACACATTCCTATATTTATATTGATTATACTTACACTCTAACAATTGCTAAAATTTGGCAGAAACATAATTGACATAATTTAAATATACTTGTAATAACACTCATGTGACTAAATAACACTCAATGTGACTAAAGCTAATTCCATCGGGAGGTACTTATAGTAAACCATATTTTGAATCCATCCAGGTAAAACCATGTGAATGGAATTAATTACAATAAACTGGTTGGTGAGATCAGAACTTAAAAGTGAACAGAAGCGTTGAATAGTTTTCATGACAGAAAAGTATCACTCAATGCTTTATTTAATCTCAATTTTTTAACCAAATGAACAGATTAATCTCGGTCACTTCTCTGGGAAGCTACTTTTCCCAAACTTGACCTTGACAGCAACACTACCAAGAATTTTCTAGCACTACAGCGAGTAATTAGTAAGATGAAGTATAAAATGATGTGAAAAATTCTGCTCTACTCAAGGCTGTAAAATTTTAGGACTTGTTTTACTTAAGTATTCTTGTCCTGAGGCAGGTGCAGCAATGATTCTTGAGAAAAATTCCGGTATATCCCTTCTTGGCCTACCTTTCTGTGGAGGTAAAGGGCTAGCTATCTAGGAGCGAACCTCATTAGGCTCCTCAACGTCCACAAAAGAATGTCAACCTATTATCTGTTATGTGATCTCTAAAGTTTAAAAACCCACCCCTGAATCAATCATGTAGAGTATCAATCTGCACTTCAGGCTTCTAAGAGTATATAAGACTGAAATGACTCAATGACTAAAACAGCCTGGCTGGGAGAATGTCCATATAAATAAGTATTATTGTAAAAACAAGTATTCTCCCTGTTTCTCCAGATAGAACAGGTTTTAACTAGATTCAAGCAGACCCATGAGAGTGCTATCTCTTTGGAGCATATTTTCTGAACAGACTTTACTTTACTATGTTGCTTTTAATGGTCATATCCTTGGCTTTTATTGATGGACAATAAAAGTTAAGAGGTGTGTGACACATGTGATTGCATTTCTTGCAATTATGATCTTGAGGATGTTATATACTACATCACATAGTGATGATAATGATCATGATGATAAAAAGATAGTAATAACCACAAAAGATAACACTTGTGTGTTTACCACTTTTTACTTATTAAGAAAATCACATATATGAAGTCTCATGTGATTCCCTTCTAGGAAAAGCTATTCTGCAAAACTTATAGTTCTCTTTGACAATCAACTTTGGGCTTAGATTGTCAGGAAACCCGAAACAAGTAAAAGCAATTTGATAGGCTCTTCTGATATGTGAATTTTGTTTTATTTTTCTCCTTTCTTGACTAATTAATGTATATTTTTCCTTTTTTCTGATTTTTTTTAATAAGTCACATATCACCATTTTATTACTTTGCTATAGAATCCTTCAAATAATATATAGGATAAAATAATATATAGGATATATATTAATAAATAAGAACTGATTAATAAATCTGTATAAAAATTTTGATATTAATATTCTCCCTATAGGTATGTTCTGAAGATCAAATGAATTAAAGTGTTAAACATACAGCACCCTGGCATACAGTGTGTAATCAGCTAATTTAAGTTCCTCTACCCAATCATTCAGATGCACTATAAAATTTGCAAATGACCTAATCACTCGTATGTCTCATCTTTTTTTCCATAGTGAAAACCGTTTTTCAGAAAATTATAATGGCTTTTCCTACTTTACTATATTGCCTCCTTAGAGAAATCTCAGTGTGATTTTTTCCACAGAGGTAGGAAACTTCTGATTTCTACATAAAAGCTACAGGAGAGGAAAGGAAGAAAAAAGGAAAACAATTTGCATGTGAAGCAGAGATTTCTCTAACATAAATAAAATGCTGTCAGAAAAGCAGATTGATGATAGCATTAAGGTAGCTTTAGGAGTTGGAAAAGGATTATACCTACGTTGATATTATATGTAAAAGTTTTGATAAACTAGAGGTCTCAGATGTCTATTCCAACTGCACTGGTAATAACAGCATAAAGTTCTGTGTTGAGAATTCTGAAGTTACATCTGCTCGGCAGGAAAAAGTACACTGTTCAACTAGTGATATGTTATAGATGCAGCCTACCTAAAAGAGTGGGGACCAATGCTTCATATTTACCATTTCTGCTCTATATAAAATAAGACAATAGTAACAATGATGATAATATTAAGCTGCAGTTATTATAGTCAGTGAAAATTATAAGAAATATATATGAATTCAAAGAGAAGTGATGAAATTCTTCTGTTTTACTAATATGCATTATTATTCACCTTAAAAAAAATCTTCAGATACGTTCTAAAGTGTTATTCCTATGCAGAAAATACTAATTGGCTTTAAAGGTAAGTTCTGAGAATTACTTCTAACAATATTTACTTCCTTAAAACTGTTACTATGAAGAAAAAAAAGAAGTACAACATTATCGGTTATCTTTGCTTTGGAATATACCAACCCAAACTTATGCTTGAAATAACCACAATTATTAAGTTTGCTTATAAATTTGCATTTGGACAGGGGCTGGCCAGGGAAGCTTGCCTCTGTGCCATCTAGCATCAACTGGGGCAACACAAAGGCTGAGGCTTACTTGAAGGCTAGGGACTGGATTCCTCTGAAGCCTTGCTCATTGATGTGCCTGATGGTTGCTGTTGGCTGTCAGTTGGGGATTCAGTGGAGCTGTCAGCTAAAACACTTATATGTGGTCTCTCCATGAGGCTGTTTGGCTTCTCATAGTGTAGAGGCTAGATTCCAGGAGCAAGTGGCCCAAGAGACAAGAAGTGGAAGCTGCCAGTTTCTTAAGGCCTGGACCTAGAAACTGGTACAGATCATTTTACTGTATTCTAATGGTCAAGTAGTCACAAAGCCAGATTCAAAGGAAGGGGACACAGGCCCAGTCCTCAGTGGGAGAAGTGTCAAAGAATTTTGGGGACATAGTTTCAAACTGACACAAATTGAAATTACCAAAATGGTTGAGAAAGGCACAAAGAAAGATAGCAAAAGAGAAAGATAAAAAAAAATAGAAGACTCTAAAAAGTAAATGAAGGAAATCGATTTATATAAAATATCAATAGGGTGGTAATTCAAGATATAAAATGACAAAATAAAGAAAGCATTACATTTGAGAGCACAAATAAAATAGGTATCAAGTATGTGTTATACCCTCTGATCTTCAGAATAAAAAATGTAGCCACATATTCTGAACACTTAGAATATGACACACAAAAAGATAAGTCTAGATATTATCACAGCTGAAATTCCATGAAACTTCAAAATAAAGGGCTAATAAAATAAAGCAAAAACAACCTAGGAATAATCAATGCAAATCTGTTCAAATTACATATCTTAAAGGGAAATATTGCTATTAATGAGTACTTCCATGAACCAATTATAACAATAATTTATTTTAATATAACATAAAGTATTAGTCTTGCCAGGCTCATCATCTTGTCCCAGAAGGAAATGTAAAATTATTATATCTGTCTGAAATAACAACCAATAGTTTTTGTTCTACAGTAAATTCTGCTTCAATTGACTCACATAGCACTATTAATTAATAAGAATTATTTAAAAACTGAAAGTCAATATTTACTGAATTATTCTATATTATTCTAGGTGCTTACCATATATTGACTTATTTAATGTTCAATATTAACACCCTATTTTTACCACTGAGGAAAATGAAGCACCGAGAATTTGAGTAATTAAGTCACTCAGTAGTAAATAATGGAGCCAAAGCTAATTCAGGCAGTCTGACTCCAGAGCCCTAAACAAAACCTATTACATTCTGTAAAAGGCAAACAGTAACAGTACAAATGACTGGAAAAGTATGCTTCACATTCTATAAAAAACAATAGTTTTCAAATGCAGAGTAGAATCTTTAAAGCTGGATCATTTCCTCACACACACAAAAAAAGCTATATAACAGAAGGAAACAAAATTAGTGCTTGACAACTTCTCAAACCCCATCCTTCTGGGTACAAGTAGATCATACAGGTATAAATCAAAGAAAAAGGAGAAAGTCATATTTCCTGCTTTCCTATCTCACACCATTTTCAAGCAAAAATGATGAGAAACATTCACCATTTGCCCTGGCACATATACAGGAACTATGGAGGATACTTTTAACTAACAATGAAATCATGAAGGACATCCAACAGATTGTGGGAGTTTTAGAAGATCCATTTCTAGTCCTCGAAGAGTTAAACCTGAACAAATTCTCATTTAATTTCATCTAATAAAGATCAAAGTTAATAACACTTAGAGAAGGGATTTGCTTACAAGAAAATGACGAACACTTCAAATCTACAACTTTTTTTGTGAACACAATCAAATTCGAGAAAGCCTAAATTAAAAAGATTTTTTTTCTTGAAAATTGGAAAGAAATTAAATGTAAGAATTAATTGTAAGAGTGTTTCTATATAATTAACCTTCCAGTTCAATAATGGATAATTACCAAACTTATTTTTTTTTCTAAGAAACAGAGTCTTACTTTGTCACCCAGGTTGGAGTGCAGTGGCATGATCATAGCTCATTGCAATCTCCAGCTCCTGGGCTCACGTAATCATCTCTCCTAAGCCTCCTGAATGGCTGGGACTACAGGTGCGTGCCACCAGGCCTGGCTTTAAAAAAATAATAATTTAATTCTAAGTTCTGGAATACACGTGCTGGATGTGCAGGTTTGTTACACAGGTAAACATGTGCCACAGTGGGTTTGCTGCACCTATCAACCCATCACCTAGGTATTAAGCCTCACATGCATTAGTTATTATCTTGATGTTCTCCTTCTCCCTGACCCCCGACAGGCCCCAGTGTGTGTTGTTCCCTTCTCTGTGTCTGTGTGTTCTCATTGTTCAGCTCTCACTTATTAGTGAGAACATGTGGTGTTTGGTTTTCTGTTCCTGTGTTAGTCTGCTGAGGATAATGGCTTCCAGCTCCATCCATGTCCCTGCAAAGGGCATGATCTCATTCCTTTTTATGACTGCATAGTATTCCATGGTGTATATGTACCACATTTTCTTTATCCAGTCTATCACTGATGGGCATTTGGGTTGATTCCATGTCTTTGCTACAGTGAATAGTGCTGCCATGAACATACATGTGCATGTATCTTTATAAGAGAATAATTTATATTCCTTTGGGTATATACCCAGTAATTTATATTCTTTTGGGTATATACCCAGTGTATACCCAGTAATTCCTTTGAGTATAATTCCAGTAATGGAATTGCTGGTTCAAATGTTATTTCTGGATCTAGGTCTTTGAGGAATCTCCACACTGACTTCCACAATGGTTGAACTAATTTACATTCCCACCAACAGTGTGAAAGCGTTCCTATTTCTCCACAATCTCACTAACACCTGTTGTTTCTTGACATTTTAATAATTGCCATTTTGATTGGCATGAGATGGTATCTCATTGTGGTTTTGATTTGCATTTCTCTAATGACCAGTGATGTTGAGGTTTTTTTCATGTTTTTTGGCCACATAAATGTCTTCTTTTGAGAAGTATCTGTTCATGTCCTTTGCCCACTTTTTAATGGGCTTTTTTTTTCTCTTGTAATTTTGTTTACGTTTCTTGTACATTCTGGATATTAGACCTCTGTCAGATGGATAGATTGCAAAAATTTTCTCCCATTCTATAGGTTGTCTGCTGACTCTGATGATAGTTTCTTTTGCTGTGCAGAAGCTCTTTAGTTTAATTAGATCCCATTTGTCAATTTTTGCTTTTGTTGCAATTGCTTTTGACATTTTTGTCATAAAATCTTTGCCCATGCCTATGTCCTGAATGGTATTGCCTAGATTTTCTTCTAGGGTTTTTATAGTTTTGGGTTTTACATTTAAGTCTTCAATCCATCTTGAGTTAATTTTTGTATAAGGTGTAAGGAAGGGGTTCAGTTTCAATTTTCTGCACATGGCTAGCCAGTTTTCCCAGGATCATTTATTAAATAAGAAGTCCTTTCCCCATTGCTTGTTTTTGTCAGGTATGTTGAAGATCAGATGGTTGCAGATGTGATCTTATTTCTGAGATCTCTATTCTGTTCCATTGGTCTATGTGTCTGTATTTGTACCAGTACCACACTGTTTTGGCTACTGTAGCCTTGTAGTATAGTTTGAAGTCAGGCAGCATGATTCCTTCAGCTTTGTTCTTTTTGCTTAGGATAGTCTTGGTAATGCAGACTCTTTTTTGGTTCCATATGAATTTTAAAGTAGTTTTTTCTAATTCTGTGAAGAATGTCAATGGTAGTTTAATGGGAATAGAATTGAATCTATAAATTACCTTGGGCAGTATGGCCATTTTCACAATATTGATTCTTCCTATCTGTGAGCATGATATAGAGCAAACAAACCCCAAAGCTAGCAGAAGACAAGAAATAACCAAAATCAGAGCGAAACTTTTTAAAGTTTTTGTAGAGATGGGGTTTTCCTTTGTTGTCCAGACTGGTCTTGAACTCCTGGCTTCAAGCAATCCTCCTGCCTCTGCCTCTCCATGACAGGGTTAAAAGCATGAGCCACTGCTCTCAGGCTGATTATTAAATTTTTATCTTAACCCTTTAAGAAAATGATTTATGGTAGTGAGGTGCTTACCATGTACTGACTTATTTAATGTTAATGAGAGAGGTGAATGCCCCTCTACACTCATTAACATTAACATAAACCATAACATAAACAAATATAAAAAGAACACTTAATATGTATAGAAAATATATAAGTCTAACACAGTCTGATGGAAGATAATGACTCCCAAAAGAAGGTGACACTTGAAGTGAGTCTTAAAGAATAGGCAAAATTTTAGCCAAGAAAAGGAATCAAACTTTTCTCTTAAATAATCATTTAAACTATTTTTATGATTGTAGTGGAGTCCATCACAGTTACACCAAACAATACCAAGAATTATCACATAAGAATCAAATACATTCGAATCACATATATTATGGTTCTTATCCTTCTTCCTCTAGTTTTCTCCTTCTCTCTCATTTCTTTTCACCAAACATCTAAAGTGTTTTATGAGCTAGTACTCTTAAGCACTGAAGATAGAAAAATAAAAAAAGAAAAAAACAAATCCCTTTCTAATGTCTTTAGGCGAATTGGAAATTAAGTATTTTTTCTTGTAAACACGAAAGAAATTTTCTATAGGTATCATCTTTAACTATCTTTAGGATAAAAATGGCAGATAACAAAGATATCAATGGCTTACAACTGAAAGCAGAAAGAACAGTGATAATTTTCTATATCTTAAATATATATCCTGAAACTCTGGTGAATGAGAAAAAGGTAAGTAGGTTAGGAAGAGCTATGTTCAGTTATTCATAAATATTTATTAGTTGTAATTAAATGACTCATATCCAGGATATACCAATAGCTCCTTCAAGTCAATAAGGAAAAAGAAACAAACAAACACTAAAATGGCCTAAACACTCAAGTAGATACTTCATAAAATAAAAAATCCAAATGCCTAATAAACATGAAAAGCTGGTAAACCATTTTGGTAACTGGAGAAATATAAATTAAAATGCTGCCAGGTGTGGTAGTGTGTGCCTGTAATCCCAGTGTCTCTGGAGGCTGAGGTAGGAGGATTGCTTGAGCTTAGCAGTTCAAGGCTGCAATGAACTATGATGGCACCACTGCACTCCAGCCTGAGTGACATTGTGAGACTTTGCCTTAAAAAATAAACAAACAAAAAAAAAAGAGAAAGTAGAATGATATAAGTTTGGCTAACATAAAAAAGTCTAGAAATATTAAGTATTGGTGAGAAGGCAGAGCAATGGGAATTCTTACATACTACTGGTGAAAAAAATTAATTCGTATATCCACTTTGGAAAAATTTGACATTGCCTAGTAAATTTAAAATTATACATACTCTACAACACAGCAATTCCACTTTTAGGTATAGAGTATACAGAAGATCAACCTGTGCCAGGACACAGACATTTTCAAGAATGTTCAAAGCAGCCTTATTCATATTAGCATCAAACTGACAACAACTCAAAAGTCCATCAACAGCAGAAATTTCGGTTAAAAAAAGTTTGTAATATGTTCATAAAATGAAATATTATATAGCACAAAATGAACATGCTGCAGCTACATGCACATAGATGAATCTTAAGAACAACACTGAGAAACAGAACACCCAGAGAATGCATACTGTATGATTCCCATTCAAAAGAAGCAAAACTTAACTGTAGTACTTAGCAATACATAGTGAAACTACAAAGAAAAGCAAGAAAGTGCTCAACATAATAAAAGAGAAGGTGATAGTTCTGACAGGAACTATCAGAAGATGGGGGCTTCTGAGGTGCTGGCAAAGTGTTTGTTGATCTGGATGGTGTAACACAAGTACTGATTTACAATAATTGCTTTATAATATTATATATTCTATTATAATACTGCTTTATAATAATTTGGTGAACTATACATTTATCTATTTTTCTCTGAGTTATAGTTCATATTACAAAGCATCAGAAAAAAATCCTAAGGGCAATTATAAATGCTGAATAGCTGAAATTACAAGAGTTGAAAGATTTTTACAAAGATAGATGATAGAGATAGACAGCTAGATAGCTAGATACTTTTTGAGCACCTTCTATATGCTAGGAACTATGCTAGGTGTTGAAGACATGGTATACAAAACAGATACGGTCTGACCATAAAAGTCTTATTTATTTTTTTACCATAAAAGTCGTGAGAGAGAAACATCAGACAATCATGAAAATCATTTTAAATCAAAAAGTTTGTTGATTACTATGAAAGAAGTTTGTGATGCTTTGAGAGAAGCTGTTATAACCTAGTGTTAGGTGTCAGGAATGTTTCACTGAGATATAAAGTTTAAGCTGAAACTTTAATAATAAGCCTAAATTCATCTGGGAGAGAGGGAAGAGGTAAGTATTTCAGGTAGATGGAAAAACAGGTACAAACCAAGGAACTAAAAAAGCAAGCCAATGGGTTAGAGTGGTCCAGGATGAGACTGGAGAAGTAGACATGAGCAAACCATGGAAGCTTGTAGCTATATTAAGAATTCCAGTAGGTAACAACAAATAGCTGAATTAATAAACAAATGAACAAAGAAAATTGCCCGCTTTTTTTAAAAAATAGTAACTTCATTACAATTCTGTTAAGAAACCATTTTACTGTGATTTTGTTTGAATGTATGAGACTATGACTGTAAAACTTTCCTATATCCTTTCACAAATGTTTCCTAGAATTGTGTTCTAAATGCTATCACTTATATCAAATGACAATTGAACAGATAAATCATTCTCTTTTACTAAAAAAAAAAGAATTCTGAAATTGTATCCTATGGGCAGATGGAAGCCATTGAAGGGTTCAGTGCAGGAGATTAATAGGATCCGATTTACAGATTTTCATATGCCCTCTTTTATTATTCTAATGGTTTTTTCTAATTTTTGCTTTCATCATCTCATTCACAGCACAACTCATCATTAACCTTCTGACCCCAACAAAGTTATCATCCTAAAGCACAGTTCATATCACAAAACTCTCTTTGGTGATAATAGGCAATAGCTCTCAGGAGACTGTAAGTTTAATGAGCACCTACCATGTGCCAGTCAGTCTTCTAGGATGGGGGACATGTTATTGAACAAATAGGCAAAATTCCTGCTTTTAGGGAGCTCACTTTCTAGTAAGAAAGCCTGAGGCTAACCCACTAATCAGACATAAAATACAATGTTAGGGAGTGGTGAATGTGATAAAGAAAAATAAAGCAAATAAAGAAAATAAATAGATTTAATAAAATCAAGAAACAACAAATATAACAAAACATTATGTCCCTCTCTGTTCAACTGCTCCTCTAACAAGTTTTGTGTATACCTATATTTGTGACTTGCTGGACTCTTTATATCCCTCTAGTTGCTCTCACTTTGCATTTTGTGAATTCAAATGCAGCATTTTTTAAACTTTTAAGTTCAGGGTATGTGTGTAGGTTTGTTACACAGGCAAACTTGTGTCCTGGGGGTTTACTGTATAGATTATTTCACCATCCACCTATTAAGCCTAGTATCCATTAGTTATTGTTCCTGATCCTATCCCTCCTCTCACCCTCCACCTTCCAATAGGCCCCAGTGTGTGCTGTTGTTCCCCTCTACGTGTCTGTGTGTTCTCATCATTTAGCTCCCACTTATTTTATTAATTATTATTATTATTATTATTCAGACGGAATCTTGTCTTGTTGCCCAGGCTGGAGTGCAGTAGCGTGATCTCGGCTCACTGCAACCTCTGCCTCCTGGGTTCAAGCAATTCTCCTGCCTCAGCCTCCCAAGTAGCTGGGATTACAAGCCTGAGCCACCATGTCCAGCTAATTTTTATATTTTTAGTAGAGACGGGGGTCTCACCATGTTGGCCAGGCTGGTCTCAAACTCCTGGCCTCAAGTGATCCCCCTACCTTGGTCTCCTAAAGTGCTGGGATTACAGGCACGAGCCACCACGCCTGGCCTGGCTCCCACTTATAAGTGAAAACATGTGGTATTTGGTTTTCTGTTCCTGTGTTAGTTTGCTAAGGATAATGGTCTCCAGCTGCAGCCATGTCCCTGCATAGGACATATTTTTTCCTAGGTCATCAGTGTTTTTAAAAGAAGCTAAGAGATCTTAATTCACTCTAAATGATTACTGGAGATAAAACGTAAACAAAATCTCTAAATTTGCTCATTTTTTTTCTGCGATGCCTATTTGCCTTTCCTTATTCCTTAGCTATAACGTGAGGTTTTAGTAATAAGTTCATAAGTTAGTGTTTTTCAAGATAGCAAATTATCAGACTATGTCTGCATTACCATTTCTGTTATATGGCTAGATGGCCTGTTACCTTTATCAGGAGGCTCAATATGCCAGTGTTGACTAAATTTAGCAGTAATAAATCATGCTTATGTTTACTCTTTGACTTCTAAGTACAACTGCTATATTTTCCATATGTCTCTGGTGACTAAAACTCTCTAAAAACGACAGCTAAATACATCAGTTAGAAGGTTGAGAAAATAAGTTTTAATAATGGCTCAGTGAACGAGCTGAGGAAGGTGTATCTAGAGCCAATCTCAGTATGGGGAAAAGTGTCTGGTGGAATGCCTATTTTGAAAAAGCTCCTTGGGACACTGTATATCATTCCCTGACCAACCCCAACCTCTCTTACACAATCTCCTCATTTTACAGATAAGAAAGCTACGACCCAGAGAGATTATCTAACTTGTAAAAATCATATAAGCCATGAAAGGCAAAGCCAGGATTAGAATTCAGAACAGCTGTCTCTTGTCTGTCTGGGTTCTTTTCATTAATCCTTGCATTTCTCAGACTGGGCCCCCAAGAATTCTATGATCTGTAAGTAAGACTGGAAGATGCTGTGTTAAAGTAGAAAAGAATTACTTTAGGATTTCTTAAAATCTAAAATATGCAAATATAAGTTTAGATTCTATAAAAGAAGTACTCAGGATTTTCAAATGAACTTCTTGATGAGGTGTTTTTATGTTTGCTATTTTTTTTAAAAAGAACTATTATTAATGAAGCAACACAGAAAATGGTGGTTTGGAACTTAAATCTGTCTCCTTTATTTTCAATTTATTTTTACTTCATTAAAACAGATTAATAAGAATCCCAGGATACACAGTTTACATATTACAAAGAATCACTGAATTTCTTTTACTAATCTACCAAATAAAGTAAGTTGTGAGGCAAATCTTAATTTTTATTTAGTGGTAGGTTCTATGAGTCTATTAGCCAAATGTGGTCTTTTGATCACTTAGGAATACTTGTCATTGGATGTAGATTTCTATGCATATAAAAATAAGCAATTTGTGTTTAAATTAGTTATAAAATAAAGCTAATCTGATTACTAAGATTAATTTTTTAAAAGGCATATTCATGATGTTTTTAATAGATCCTACTGAGTCTTTAAAGACATCCACATTCCTCAGATTAGTCATTTTTTAGTCCCATTTTAAGACGAAGGCATTTGGAGCCTGTGTTTCTGGCAAATATGTTTAAATTTTAATTCTTATTTTGACAACAGGACTATTTGATTTCAATTGCTTTAAAACAAACTGTAAGGATCAATAACAAAGAGGACAAAGTAGTTTTGAGTCTGTGATAAAAATAGGTACTAAAATGCTACTGGTTATACAGGATCTGTTGTGAATAGGTCAGCTCAAGGTCCCAGGTAAACATCTTGTTTGTGTCCTGAAGCCTTGTTTTCTGCATGCCTTATACTCTCAGTAGGGTCCTCCTACTCGGGTCTAAACACTGGGCCACTGCACCCTATCGATCTTCTTTAAATCTCCAGAATAATAAATTTCAAGGCAACACAGCAGAAGCCGACTAAAGCCCTTTAATTACATCACTGCTGAAAGGAAATCATTGATCAATGGCATTATGGGAAAATAAACTGCCCCCCAAACCAGATCAAAGTCAATAAAATAGCTGACTAGCTGCCCCATTTGGGACTTCCACTAGATTAGTGCTCATGGACAAGCAAAAGAGATGATTCTAATGCATGCTGCTTACTATCTTTTTGAAGCTCTCCCTGGCAGGTGTCACGCTCTGAGCATGGTTTCTGATTACTCTAATTAAATATAATATTATCAACAGATCTTCGTATTGATCCTTAAAATCTCCCCTTCTAAACAAAAAATTAAAAGCCTAGAGAGAGGGCTTCATAGGGTACCAGGTTATTTTAATGACTTTAGTACTGTATCAATTTTCTTAATGTATTATTTTAATATTTATCAACATCAAGGTACCAATTACCTTAAGAATTTTAAATAACATGCAAAATGAACAATTTTAAAACTTGCTCTTGCAGAGATTAGATAAATTCTTTTCAATTTATATAAAGTTACACTCCCAATTTTTCTACTAAATGTGGCTAACTGTGCTGGTTACTACTCATTATTGATAGTTTATTTAAATACATTGCCCAATACATATAATACAATATGGCAATGAATTCTTTTTTCTCAAGTAGTTAAAAAATTGTGAGAACATTTTAAGAAAATAATTTTATAATAAGCTTATGAACAATAATAGCAATATTCATAGTTTTCAAATAGGCAATAATATTTCAATGCTTGAAATCCTATTAATTCTATACTTGCAGATTTCAAAATGTCTTCTTCTGTTTGGTTAGGGATAACAATTTGCAAACAAAGTTGAAAACCTCAAATCTCTCTTCAAAAAGGAGACCGTACAAATTTATAAAATGAAATATTTATAAGCTTATTGACATAAATTTTCATGTAAAATTCCAGAATCATGTTAATTAGAAAATGTAATATTATCTTTAAAGTAAATTTTGAGAATTTTAAGAATAATGTAAATTTAAGAGTGTACAAGGGGAAACCTAAAATACCAGATACAATGATTCATTTACGGGCATTACTTTAGCTACTCGATCTAGCAAATGCTAACAGCCATGCCTTCTTCCCATTCTACATTTCTTCCTATTCAGTCCCTATTCCCTCAGGTGGTTCTCATTGCTAATGCCCAAATGGCATCAACCTGTTGTTTAGCTCATCTATGAAAAGGCTAGCCTGCTGGCTAATTTACCAAGGGATTAAAGCCCTGAAACCACTTCAATCTGCTACTTTGTTTCCATGTAAAAGCCTTACCCATGACACCAGTTCCCTCATGTTAAAATTGAAAATCTCTTTAAAAGAAAGAAAAATCCAAAGTAAAAACTGTTTAACAGAGAAACTGCATGCCAAAAATAATATTCTGCACCCTTGAACAGTGCTATAAAATAACATTCTGTTAGTTCTGAAGTACTGCATTATATACTACAAAGAATTTCATGTATTAAATGTTTACCAGTTCATAAAATTAACAGAATTCACACAGGCACCAATGTTGGGGGAGAAGGGTGCATGAAGATTAATGTAAAACTGTATGTAGATATAGTTTATCATTGCAGTATAACATTTAATTAAAATTCACATTTGTGTGCATTTTGTTGAATGACAAAACATGATAACTGCATTAATTTACACTGGAAAATGGAGGTCCCAACAAACAAGCAACTTTCAGTTTCTGATTTAATAATAATAGAGACTTAAAGAGTCATAATTCTTAAAAAGATGGACAGGTATATACAGCAATTAATTTTTCATGCAAAAAATCTGCTAGCTTGATTTTTCTCTACCAGAATAAGCTTTAAGTTCAGACATTTTATGCAGAAAACATTTACATTTTTTCCTTTCTGTTGAAGTTTAGTCAGAGTATAACAATAATCACAGTGATTTTTTTCCTTTAATGACTTTACTCCTTGAAAACCATTACAGTAGCACCAAATTTTTGCTAAGTGGCCATTAAAACACTAAAGAAAAAGAAAACTTTTTAAGGTAAGTATTCATTACCCAGTTTGAGGGAGGACAAATGGAACAAATTGAAAAATGTAATCAACCCGTATTCATGTGTTATTGAAGAATAAGGAACTAAAATGCAAGTGTATATTCTTTATATCCTTGCTATACTTCAGTAAATTTTTCTTTCAACATAACTTCAGGATTATCACATTTAAAGTAGAACTGTATATTAAAGAAATGAGTTTCTACTTCAATCTCAATTTTCTATTTAAATTTTTCCCAGGTAAGCTGAAAACTAATTACAGTAAATTTACTAGACAAGCCATTATTTCACAATATTTCACTGATGTTTATTTATTATAACCCTGAGAAGTGAGGGAGAAAAAAGCATGACGACAAAACAATTGACCCAATAAAAGCTAAATATCAAGTATTTTATAGTTTGTAGCAGTGACTGAATTAGATCATTCAGAGGGGAAGATAAATATTATTGTTTCTCTCTTCATTTCTTTACTGTCATGACTAGTGTCCCTTGTACCTATTGGTGCCAACAGCACAGATTTGCTGGAATGAAAAACAATGTCAGCAATGGATGTGTCAGTGCCAAAGGCTTAAGAGAAAATGAATGTGCTCTAAGTTAGGATCAGTGTGATATTCAAATTCAAAGTACTTCACATAAGGACAAGATACTCAAGGTCCCATTTCAATCACAATTTTATTATAGCAACAAATATGAAATTCTGACTACCAATAAAAATACTAAATTTGATGCACTTCCCTGAAAAATTCATGGCCTTGAAAGATATTCTGCAAGCTGTCACCCCCAAGGACTATAATGGATTTGTCTTTAAAGAAAAATGTTTACAGTATGAATTATCAAATATATTTTCTGTACGTTTACACATTTTAAAGAAATATAAATTATTTATCTTGGTTGACATTTATTGACAAAATTCACATTAAGTGGAATTTTGAGAAGCTCCTTAATCAAGTTTTATAATAATGAGTTACATTTTAAGTATTTCTTTTCTATCAAGACTAGTGTGAAATTTCTTTCTTATAGTTTATATAACGAATTGCTATGCTGAATTTTATAAGGTCCAAATTTAGTGATCACTAAACAAGTCTCTTGTTAAATAACTCATAAAATAGGAACACATTATTAATAATCAATGCTAGTAAAAATAACTTCCATTTTAGTTTTTAAGCAACAAAGAAAATTGTTTCTTAATTTTCATTTATTTAAAATAAGTTTTAAAAGGTGTCAATCTGAAAAGCAGAGTGATTTTCCACATTTATGTCTCAGTTGAGGTATATTTCCTAAAAACAGAACTCCTGAGGCATAAAACTGCTAAATTTTACTTCTGATTAAAATAAAGTTTGAAGTGGACATATTAATGAGCACATCCTTTTTATCCTTACAGAATTCACTTCTAAATTTTTTTTTATTTGGAGAAAAACCAAGAATAAGCTATACTATGGAGAGTAATTTCTACCAACCCCCATAATTCACCAAAACCAGACTGCTTCAGTGTCTCTAAAAAAGAAAGTAAGACACTGAATGCAAAGCTTCAACAAACTATTATTACACGCTTTTCCAGTCCATTAAAAGAAAGTAATTTAATCAGTTTATAGTTTCTCAGGAAAATCTCATTGAGAGAAATTTTATTGCCAGCTATCTAAATAGTAAATACCTATTATCCTCTCAGAATGAGTTTTTGCTTGCCAAGGGCAAACCCATTGCTGTTATTGTAGAGCTCTGTCAGAGAAACTAGAAGTTAAAAAGGTTATAAAGATACCACTAATGTCATGGGACTGTCTTATTGGGACTCAAAAATGCTTAGTAACTGAGGGTTTTATTCAAAGTGTATTAGCACCCATAAAAACAGCAGAGTGAATATGATACTTTAGGTTTTATTTTGTTATAGCCTAGAAAAATCACCTACAAACAGCTGAATATTGTAAATGTATCTGCTGGACAGCACAACTCATTTTATCATCTGGCTCTAGCTGAAGTCTTTAAAGAAAATATCAATAACATACATACAGCTTAAAGGCAAATCTAGATCCAACCAATGAGGACAACAGAGAAAAGTATAAATGATAACTAATTGGTCCTGACAGCATGTACCTTTGATAGAAGTATGAGTCAGCAAATGACAAATGTTCTTTAATTCTTATATTCTAACTTAAAGAGAAACTGTTACAAAATAGCTTATATTAATGTTTATTAATATACAAAATGGTGAATGACTACACTAAGCAACAGATAATGAGGGACATAAAATAATTCTGCCTCTATTAATTTTCTGATTTTGGAGCTTTTGGACTAATTACATAGAAAATATTCTACTAGTTTATTTTTAGGTTTAGTAGATCTATAATACAACTCTTAAAGTCATTCATCTGTCAGCTCCAACAGTTATATAAATAATAACCATTTAAAGAAAAATTTTAAAGATATACTTGCCTTAACTTTTTGAATATTGATGATACTGTGCCTATACTTCCTCTCTTCAGATCATTGCCAGTATAAATATGGACATACGAAGTTTATAAAAAGTAGACTGATGAGGGTCTGATTTGCCTAAAACGTCCAGCTTTTAATAGGCCAAATATAAAAAGTAGTAGAAAGGGGGAAAAAACCCTCTCAGTGCTAGTAAGATATTTTCTGACTACAGAAGAAATTGAATGGTCAAACTCTGAGGGCGGCATATGTCAAATGAATGATGGAAGCACTGAAATAATTAAACTCTAGCTATAATTACTCAAGGTAGATTCTGCTAACCCAAACAAACCTGCCTTGGGAATTCCTTTTTGTTTTCAAAGTCCAGCTCTTGCATCATCTTCTCCATTAACTTTTCCTAAATTTCCCCTACCCCACCTTAAATCCCTTTCCTCTACACCTGCATAAAATTGTACTATAACACTTAGTATACTGAGTGTCTTCAAATGGGAAGTGTGAACTGTTCATTTCCACATATTTCACACTGCCATGTTATCTACACACAGAAAGGTTCAGTAAGTTTTCATTAAGTTCATAAATTTAAATTAAATTAAAATTAAACCATGATTTTATTTGAACTGAAATTCAAGGTAATTTGTTTCTGTGAACTGGCCAAAGACCTTATCACATAGGTTTCAATAAATCTCTGTATCTCTATTTATTATATACAATTTTAAAACATAAACATCTTACATATCACGGTTTCTTTACCTGAATGGAAATCTAAAGTGATTCAGAAATGCTTCTGCAATCTATACACTTAGTTGAATTACTAAAAGCCAGTATTTGCTAATAGGAAAAGGAGTTCTGGATGCTGATCTTGAAGTGGCTATATAAATTACTGCCACTTAAGTTTGGGAAATAAAAGAGAATACTCAAAACATGCAATTTCTTGGTCAATTTCTTCTCGTTCTCATGCAATCTGTTTTTTACCCAGACGTTTCTCCGTCCTATCGCAATCTATAAGTAAATAAATAAATAAACAAAGAAATAAATGGTTTAAAGAGCAGTTTTCTGATGCTAGCCTGGAAAAACAGATTACACTAGCAGTGGGACTAAGGAAAGTCTGTGGGTAGAAATAAGCAAAGGGTTCTCTTCTGATGATATTCTCCTTCCCTGAAAACTCAGCCACAGAAAGAATCATCAGACATCTCTGCCCGTTACAGTCATGTGTCTCTTAATGATGGGGATATGTTCTGAGAAATATGTTGCTAGAATTTCATCGTGTGACCATCATAGGGTGTACGTCCACAAATCTAGATGGTATAGCCTACTACACATCTAGGCTATACAGTATAGCCTACTGTTTCTAGGCTACAAAGCTGTATAGCATGTTACTGTACCTGAATACTATGGGTAGTTGTAACAAAATGTTTAGTATTTGTGTATCTAAATATATCTCAACACAGAAAAGATACCATTAAAATATTGTATAAATGATTAAAAAATGGACAGCTGCATAGGACACTTAACATAAATGGAGCTTGCAGGAATGGAAGCTGCTCTGGTTGAGTCAATGAGCGGTTAATTGAATGTGAAGGCCTAGGGCATTACAATACACTACTGTAGACTTTATAAACACTATATACTTAGGCAATCTATCTACTGTAACTTTTTTACTTTATAAACTTTTAACTTTTTGACTCAGCTTAAAATGATGCACTGTATGGCTGTACAAAAATATTTTCTTTCTTCATATCCTTATTCTATAAGCTTTTTCCTATTTAAAAATTTCTTTTTTCTTTATGTGTTAACCTTTTTTATTAAAAACTATGACACAAACACACATATTAGGTTAGGCCTACACAGTGTCAAGATCATCAATATCACTAGCTTCCACCTCTGTATCTTGTCCCACTGGAAGGTCTTCAGGGTAATAACATGCATGGAGCTGTCATCTCCTATGACAACAATGCCTTCTTCTGGAATACCTCCTGAAGAACCTGCCTGAGGCTACTTTACAGTTAACTATTTTTTTATACACAGAAAGTGAACACTCCAGAATAATAAAAATATGATACAGTAAATACATAAACCAGTAACATTTATTATCAGTATCAAGTATTATGTACTGTCTATAATTATATGTGCTATATTTATATACAACTGGCACTGCAGGAAGTTTGTTTATACCAGCATCACCACAAACACATAATGTACTGAATTATGACATTTTAGGACACCTATGACCTATGATGAAAAGGCCATAGGAATTTTTCAGCTCCATTATAACTGAATAGGACCACCATGGTATACATGGTCCATCACTGACCAAAAAACATCGTTATGTGGTATGACTGTATGTAACTCTACAGTATACCTCTACAAGAAGAAAATTCTACTATTTTCTGGCAAATAGACTGAAACATCTTTTTGAGTTTCTATCAGTTAGGTTACAATTAGTAAATTAATTGCAGCTATCCTTTATCAATGTTTTCACTGTTCTTTCTTACTCTATTTTTGAGGAAAGACTAATTTTTTTAAAATTTCAAAAACAGCACTTGTTTATTGGAGGAAAATAAGTAACATAGAAAAGAAATGTATAGAGTAAAATCTGAAAGTGTCTACCTTTACTTCCATTTTGCAGGGGGAGCTAGTCCACAGCTTGGAATGAGAGAAGGCAATGTTACACAATGGGTAAGAACAGTCTCTAGAGCTAGATGTATACTAGGGCTTTCTGCAATGATGAAAATGTGCTAAATTATCTCTGCTGTCCAAATAAGATAGCTACTAGCCAAATGTAGTTACTGAACACTTGAAATGTGGCTAGTATGAACAAGGAACTGGATTTCTAATTTCATATTACTGTAATCAATTTAAATTTAAATGTAAATAGCCACATGTTGCTAACACCAGCTCTGGCCCTTACAAGCTGTGTGACCTCAGGCAAGTAACTAACCTGTATGCCTCAGTTCTCCTTTCTTTAAAAAGGAAATAATAGGGCCGGGCGCGGTGGCTCACGCCTGTAATCCCAGCACTTTGGGAGGCCGAGGCGGGCGGATCACGAGGTCAGGAGATCGAGACCATCCCGGCTAAAACGGTGAAACCCCGTCTCTACTAAAAATACAAAAAAAATTAGCCGGGCGTAGTGGCGGGCGCCTGTAGTCCCAGCTACTTGGGAGGCTGAGGCAGGAGAATGGCGTGAACCCGGGAGGCGGAGCTTGCAGTGAGCCGAGATCCCGCCACTGCACTCCAGCCTGGGCGACAGAGCGAGACTCCGTCTCAAAAAAAAAAAAAAAAAAAAAAAAAAAAAAAAAAAAAAAAAAAAAAAAAGGAAATAATAGTATTTCTTATAAGACTGTAGTAAGAATTGTAGAATCCATGTAAAGATTTTAGAAATATCTCAAACATGATAAATATTCAGACCCTCTTCTGGGTTCAGTGAAATATATAATTCAAATACACACACACACACAAATACAAACACACATTGATAAATATATGTAGCAATTTTAAAAAATAGCATCATACTATTGGCACTAACCTGAAAATTAGAATTTTCAACCAACAATATACCACAGACTCCTTCTCTGTCAAGACATTCACAAATGTACTGAATACTTGCTATGTTTCCCAGTACTGTCTTAGGTGATTAGGATACAGTGTTGAATAAGTTACATATGATCTCAAACTTCATGACAATAAATAAAATAATTAGGTCGTAGTAACAATGGAAGAAGGGATAGCTACTATAGATTATAGCAGACAGGGAAAGCTTTTCTGAGATGGTGCAAATTTATCATTTTATAATCCATCCTTTGCTCCCTGCTATGGTTTGAATGTCTGTGTCCTATCCCCTTCAAAATTCATTTTGAAACTTAATCCCCAATGCAAAAGTAATAAGAAGTGAGGCCTTTAGGTGGTGACTAGGACATGAGGGATCCACCTTTATGGATCAGATTCGTGCCTCATAAAAGAGCTACAGTGAACTAGCTAGACCCCTTCAACCCCTTCTACGGTGAAGCTGCAGTGTGCAAAGTTCAAGGTGCCATCTTGGAAGCAGACACCTGGCCCTCACCAGATACCAAACCTTCTGGTGCCTTAATCTTGGACTTCTAGCCTCCTGGCCCTCACCAGATACTGAACCTACTGGTGCCTATATCGTGGACCTCCAGGAACTGTGAGAAATAAGTTTCTGTTCTTTAGAAATTACCCAGTCTCAGGTATTTTTTAATAGCAGCACTAACACTCCTCACTGAAGAGTCTCATATTATCCCTGAGTTTTAATGTATCCCACAGATTCATGCTGCCCTGAGCCTGACATACCCCTCCATAATACCATCTTTTACCTCCTCTACCCTTTCTCTCTCCCATCAGAAAGTCTCAATGTATGTCTAACACTCCCTACCAAGCCTTCTGTCTTATACCCCATTCCCAAGGGTCACCCAGTCGCAGTACGCATCCCATCCCAACCTCACGGTATCACAAGCCTCATTCCATCTCTGAACCTCATATTATTTCTGAGCTTCCCACCCTCTCTAAAAATCTTCACCAATTTCTAAATATTAACCTAACTTTTCTATCTCTTTTAGACCAATTCTAAATTACAAGGAGGTGACATTAAAGATGAGATCCTTTATGTAAGTCAGCCATGGAAAGAGCAGAGAGAGGGGTATGATAGGGAGAAGGGAAAGAGAAGAGCATGTTCAAAGGTTCTGAAGCAGAAAAAAGCTTATTGAATTTGAGGGCTTGAAAGAAAACTTGTGTGACTGGGTCATATTAGTAATATATTTTACTATTTCCATTATTACTAGATATTAAAGTTGTCTCCAATTCTCCACTATAATACACTAACAGACAATGCTGTGATAAATATTTTTCTACACATCTTTTGAGATATGTAATAATTCTCTAGAGTGTTTTCTAGAAATGAAATGCTGGGTCATTTAAATTTTGGTGGGTACTGCTAAGTCACTGGCAAAATACTCACCGGCTAAGTAGGTCAAATGGTATTTCCGTCTCCCTATGTATGTGTACACACATATAGCATGTAAAACAGTATAATATAAACATGAAATTAACTGAACCAAACTTACCATGTCACTATTTCACAAAGACTAATATATACTCTATGTTATGGCTAGAAGCCAAGACACAAATTCCATGACTATCTCTTTCCAATTCCATTATTTTCTACATTGAGTTATTTGTATTGGTTAGTCTAAACAACCAATTGTAAACAAAGGACAACAGTGTTCTAGTGCAACTTTGCCAGATGCTTCCCTAAGAATTGATTCAGCTGTACATCTCTCGTTATTTAATATAAACTAGCAAATCAATTCAAAGAGAATTTAGATGTATTAGAAGTCTAATATAAAGATTAGATTTTTTTAAATAGACAAAAGAATATGAGTATGAAGGTGGTACACTGTTGTGGGTAAAATAATGAGCATCACTGATCCACCACTATCACTAACTATAGATGTTTGACCTTTCTAAACTGTTGTTTTCTCATATGTAAAATGGGGTTAATAAAGGTATCTCTTCATGGAGTGAATGTGCAAATTAAATACACTGATCCCAGTAAAATACTTAATGTAATGCTTGGCAGATAAAAAGCACTCAGTAAATCTTAGCCATTATTGCTGTTATTTCCTTTGAGATTTGTATTGAGTTTGCAGAAATAATGTTCATGTAAACTACAGGTGAAAGTGGCTTCCATATACCTACTGTCACATTCTTGTGTCCTTCAGATATCCTAAACTCAATTTTACTATCCTACTCATACCACGGCACTACAGTTTGCCATAGAGAATTCTTGTATGTCTTGCCATTATAGTATGGGTGCAGCTTAATACACTGACTTAAAAATATTGTGATGTGAACTTGTTTCAGACTACTAGCAAATTACAGTGGCTCAGTTTATTTATCTGGGTCCATTTATTCAGATGAATGTCCTTTCCCTCACTATGAACAAATTATCACAGATGCTTATTTTCCTTACAAATAGAAATTTAAAAAGAAATCTTCAGAAAAGATCTTCCTTCATTAAAAAAAAAAAAAACATTGCCCATCACCAAAAAGCAGCTTATAATTGGGATTTTAAAAAAACTTTTATTTTAGGTTCAGGGGTACGTGTCTAGATTTGCTATATAGGTAAATTGCATGTCATGGGGGTTTGGTGAACAGATTATCTCATCACCCAGATGATAAGCATAGTACCTGATAGGTAGTTTTTCAATCCTCCCTTCCTCCCAACCTCTGCCGTAAGTAGGCCCTGGTGTCTGCTGTTCCATTCTTTTCTTTGTGTCCATGTGTTCGCAATGTTTAGCTCCAACTTATAAGTGAGGACACGCAGCATTTGGTTTTCTGTTCTTGTATTTGTTTGCTTAGGATAATGGCACCCAGCTCCAACTGTGTTGCTCTAAAGGCCATGATCTTATTCTTTTTTATGGCTGCATAGTATCCCATGATGTATATGTACCACATCTTCTTAACTCAGTCTACCATTGATGGGAACTTAGGTTGATTCCATGTCTTTGAGTGTGTGAATACTGCTGCAATGAACATACACATGAATCTGTCTTATGGTAGTACAATTTATATATCTTTGGGTATGGGTAATAAGATTGCTTATTTGATCTTATAAGGTCAAATGGTAGTTCTGTGTTAAGTTCCTTGAGAAATCACCAAACTGCTTTTCACAATGGCTGAACTAATTTACATTCCCATGAGCAGTGTATAAGCATTCCTTTTCTCCACAACCTTGCCAGGACCTGTTATTTTTTAAATTCGTAATAATAGCCATTCTGAGTGGTATGAGATGGTATCTCATTGTGGTTTTGGTTTGCATATCTCTAGCAACCAGTGAAGTTGAGCACATTTTTGTGTACTTGTTGGGTGCATGTATGTCTTCTTTTAAAAAGTGCCTGTTCATGTCCTTCTCCCACTTTTTTATAGGGTTGTTTTTTGCTTGTTAATTTGTTTAAGTACCTTATAGATTCTGGATATTGACCTTTGTCAGATGCGTAGTTTGCAAATATTTTCTAGCATTCTGTAGGTTGTCTGTTTACCCTCTTGATAGTTTCTTTTGCTATGCAGAAGCTCTTTCATTTAATTAGGTCCCATTTATCCATTTTTGTTTTTGTTGCAATTGCTTTTGGTATCTTCGTCGTGAAATCTTTGCCCATTCCTATGTCAAGGATGACATTTCCTAGGTTATCTTCCAGAGTTTTTGTAGTTTGAGGTTTTATATTTAAGTCTTTAATCCATCTTGAGTTGATCTTTGTATATGTTCTAAGGAAGGGGTCTAGTTTCAATTTTCTGCCTATATCTAGCCAGTTATTTCAGCACCATTTATTGAACAGGGAGTCCTTTCCCCATTGCTTGCTTTTGTTGACTTCGTTAAAGATTGAGTGGTTGTAGGTGTGCAGCTTTATTTCTGGGCTCTCTATTCTGTTCCTAAGTATCTGTTTTTGTACCAGTACCACACTGTTTCAGTTACTGTGCCCCTGAAGTATAGTCTGAAGTTGGGTAATGTGAAGACTCCAGCTTTGTTCTTTTTGCTTAGGATTGCTTTGGCTATTTGGGCTCTTTTTCGGTTCCATATGAATTTTAAAATAGTTTTTTCAATTTTGTGAAAAATATCATTGGTAGTTTGATAGAAATGGCACTGAATCTGTAAATCCTTTTGTGCAGTATGGCCATTTGAATTATATTGATTCCTCCTATCCATGAGCATGGAATGTTCTTCCATTTGTTTGTGTCATCTCTGATTTCTTTTAGCTGTATTTTGTACTTCTCATTATAAAGATCTTTCACTTCCCTGGTTAGCTGCATTCATAGGTATTTTATTCTTTTTGTGTCTATTGTGAATGGAATTGTGTTCTTGATTTGGCTCTCAGCTGGAATGTTGTTAGTGTATAGAAATGCTGATTTTTGTACATTGATTTTGTATCCTGGAAGTTTGCTGAAACTCCAGATTCTGGAAATTCAAATGACTTCAGCAAAGTTTCAGGATACAAAATATAGGAGTTTTGGAGCTAAGACTATGGGATTTTCTAGGTACAGAATCATGTCATCTGCAAACAGATAGTTTGACTTCCTCTTTTCCTATTTGAATGCCTTTTTTTTCTTTCTTTTGCTTAATTGCTTGGGTCAGGACTTCCAATACGATGTTGAAAAGGAGTAGTGAGAGAGGGCATCCTTGTCTTGTGCTGGTTCTCAAGAGGAATACTTCCAGCTTTTGCCCATTCAGTATGATGTTGGCTGTGGGTTTGTCATTAATGGTTCTTATTTTTTTGAGGTATATCCCGTGAATGCCTAGTTTGTTGAGAGTTTTTAACATGCAGGGATGTTGAATTTATCAAAAGCCTTTTCTGCATCTACTGAGATGATCATGTGGTTTCTGTTTTAGTTCTGTTTATTTGATGGATCATATTTATTGATTTGCATGTGCTGAATCAACCTTGCATCCCAGGGATAAAGCCTACTTGATTTTAGTGGATTAGCTTTTTAATGTGCTATTGGATTCCATTTGCTAGTATTTTGTTGAGGATTTTTGATTCTACATTCATCAATGACTTTGGCCTGAAGTTTTGTTTTTTTGCTGTGTCTCTAGCAGGTTTTGCTACCAGGATGATGCTGGCCTCATAGAAAAAGTTAGTGAGGAGCTCCTAACTTTGGAATAGTTTCAGTAGGCATAGTATCAGCTCTTCTTTATACATCTGGTAGAATCTGGCTGTGAATCTGTCTGCTCCTGGGCCTTTTCTGGTTGGTAGCCTTTTTATTACTGATTCAATTTCAAAACTCATTACTTGTCTGCTCAGAGATTCTATTTCTTCCTGATTCAATCTTTGGAGGTTTTATGTTTCCAGGAATTTATCAGTTTCTTGTAGATTTTCTAGTTTGTGTGCAGAGAGGTGTTTGTAGTAGTCTCGGAGGGATTTTTGTATTTCTGTGGGGTTGGTAGTAATGTCCCCTTTGTCATTTCTGATTGTGTTTATTTGGATCTTCTCTTTATTAGTCTAGCTAGCAGCCTATCAATCTTATTCTTTCAAAGAAACAAGTCCTAGATTCATAGATCTCTTGTATGATTTTTTGTGTGTGTGTGTGTTTCAATTTCAGTTAATTCAGCTTTGATTTTGGTTATTTCTTGTCTTCTACTAGCTTTCGGATTGATTCGCTCTTGTTTTTCTCATTCTTCTACATGTGATGCTAGGTTGATAATTTGGGATCTTTCTAACTTTTTGATAGGGACATTTAGTACTATAAACTTTCCTCTTAACACTGATTTAGCTATGTCCCAGAGATTCTGTTATGTTGTACTTTTGTTTTCATTAGTTTCAAAGAATTTTTTTATTTCCACCTTAATTTCATTGTTTATACAAAAAGAAGCAGGTTGTTTAATTTCCATGTAATTATATGGTTTTGAGCAATCTTCTTAGTATTGATTTCTATTTTCACTGCACTGTGGTCCAAGAATGTGGCTAGCATGATTTTGGTATTTTTGAATTTGCTGAGTTGTCTTATGGCTGACTGGTCAATTTTAGAGTATGTGCCATATGCAGATGAGAAGAATGTATATTTGGTTGTTTTTAGGTGGAGAGTTCTGCAGGTGTCTATTATGTCCATTTGGTCAAGTGTTGAGTTCAGGTCCTGAATATCTTTGTTAGTTTTCCACATCAATGATTTGTCCAGTAACGTCAAGCAAGGTGTTGAAGTCTTCCACTATTAGTGTGTGATTATCTAAGTCTCTTTGTAGATCTCTAAAAACTTGTTTTATGAATCTGGGTCCTCCTGTGTTTGGTGCATATATATTTAGGATAGGTCTTCTTGTTGAATTGAACCCTTTAGCATTATGTAATGCCCTTCTTTATATTTTTGGATCATAGTTGGTTTATAATTGGTATTTCTATTGATTACACTTGGCATTCTGTGTCAGTCTTGGAAAAAATATTAAATATTTCAACTGTATCATAGCTAAAATGAAGTATCGTATCTTTCTATGAATATGGAGCTCATATAATGTTAGGTGTGAAGTAGCCAAGCAATAGTGTTCCTAGCTCCTGATTCTCTTAATAAGTTTAATAGTATTTCACAAAAAAGTGTTAAAGGACTCATGTTAAAACACAAAGGTTAACTCTAATAACTCTTTAGCACATACAGAATAGGATCCAACTGGACCAAAATTATTCTCATAGCCACAGTAGTAAAAGGCTTTCACTTGTTCTTTAGTGAGGAGAAGCAGCAATTGATATCTGAATCTATTACATGTAAAATTGCAGAATATAGTATGTAGGTATGCAGAGTACATTATAATCAGTTTTTATTCTAGAGGATGAGCTCAGTCATTCCCCACACAGCTTTCTGACATCTTAAAGAACGTTTCACAAACTTGTTTGCTTTCATTAACAGAATTAGTAGATATTATCTTATTATTATAATCAAGGGTCCTTAGACTGGCAAAAATAGGACAGCAGCACCTCTTTCAGAATTCTGGCTTAATAAGGCTTATTTCACTCTAGCTGTGCTTTACATTATAAAGTGATCCCTACTTTACATTATATTTATAATTCAATGCCTTTGCCTCCAGTGACCTTTTGTGAAAAATATCTCAAACTAGCTATTTTTGAAATGTCGAAGCTTCATTTGACCCCAATTTGACCCACAAAATATATTTTTACTGAGTCAACGTACCACTCTATTATTTTTCTTGCTTCTTTATGGGTTTGGATTAGGTTCTGGGCACATGCAGATTCCATTCCCTGACATCTACCACCCTCCCAGTCCCTGAGATAAACAAGTAAGTTTTTGTTTGTCAACAATAAAATCCCTGAGATCCAAGAATCAGCTTCTGGCAAATGAATGCTTATTTCCAACTAGCAAAGAATAAAAGGGAGCCAAGGGCTTTAAGGGAAATTGGACTTAATTCTACCTTTTAATGTTTTTACACATTTGGTATACCATTACTAGCAAGCTGTTTGAATATGGGCAGCCTAGGACAGCTCTTCCTCCTGGCAAGTGGTAGGCATTTTCAATATGGAAACTTTCAACCCCTCATATGGAGAATGCTCTCTTGCTATAAGCTCTGAGATGAGAAAATACACAAGGCCAGATTGTGGTAAGAAATGTGGCTCTACTATGCCAGTTTTTTGAATATCAATTATGATTCATTGCAGTACCAAACTACCAAAAAGATAGATGAGGAAAGGTTAAAAGGTTAAACTGCTTAAAAAATACAAAGAAAAAAATAACCAAAAATTATGGAAGATAGAACCCCAGGGTGGGGGTGTGGAGAATAAAGAATAGTTCTAGAAGATAAATGCAACAATGACATTATCATTATAAAATTATAATATTACTAATTTACAATTTTGTCTCATACCTCATAATGATTACTCTTTAACTTTTATTGTAGCTCTATCATGAAGCAGATACGCAACTGTTATTTGCAATTCAAAGATAAAATGTCTTCCATTACACAGAAAAAATAATAAGTAATTTTGGAGAGTCATTGTAATATATTTAATATTGCATACAAAAGAAAAAGCAGAGGTTGTTTACATTAAGTATTCTTAAAAGTTCAGTGGTCTGCATTTATCCTTTCAAATAACATCAATGTGTGGATACCAAAATTACAATGCGCACAAATCCACTCATTGACAAATTTCACTTGTACACAGCATAAATACTGTAATATATTAAAATCAGAAATAACCATTTTCTTTGATGAATCACTAAGAATGCTACCCATGCCTGATGTTTAATTAACCTCCCTACTTCCTAGTTTCCTTATCTGTACTCCAGGGACAATAATATTATTGTATTTATATTACGATTATTATAAAATAAGAGAAATTCTATGTAGTTAGTATAATCCCTAGTAAATAATAAATGCTCCATAAAATAGTTACTACAAAAAGGAATATGTACTTATTAATACTATCATTACACTTATGTTACTTAGTTTCAATTCCAAATCATGTTTTATTTTAAGATATTTATTACTGTTACATAAAATGTTATATATAACTGCCAGGACATAGATACATGCGGCCCCTCAGTCCTACTTTCTTGATTGTCCAACTTCTCCATTCAGATTGGGCCCTGGCCAGGTCTAAGACCACTAACTATAGTTGCAAGGTAAACCTAGACTGGGCCAGGCTCCACTTTCCTGGAGTCATTTTTATACATGTGAATTCACTACTCCTTCATGGAAGGACTTTTGATAGTATTTTCCTTTTGGCCCTGACCTTTAACCATGAAGCACTTAATTTGGTCTATACAAACACTCAACAGTCACCTCATGAAAGGAGTTCAAAGAAGAGGGAATTCTCTCTGTTTCTGGTCATAGTTCCTGAAATTAACATCCCTTAATTGTTCCTCTGACTTAAGGCACAGTAAGATTGCTACTCAAATCTGTTACCTGAATAAATTTTGTCTAAGGATATTTGTCAAATGAGATCAAGATATTTTTCCAGGAAGAAACAAAGAAAGCCCTAAAACAATAGTTCTCAATGGGTGCAGTTATTGTCCTTAGGGCACTCTGGAAATGTATAATGATGTTTTTAGTTGAGGAGACTGAAAAAGGCAAGTAGCATTAAGTTGGTATAGCAAGAATTCTAGATATCCTGCACTGCTCTGGAAAGAATTATTCCATGTCTCACATGACTTGTGAATGCCCTACCAGATACACATGTAAGTGAAATTCTTTGAGTAATTATTTGAGCTTGGAACCTAATTATACATAAACACAAAAAAAACTGTTTCACATGCCTTAACTCATGCTAAATTTTCCAGAACTCGCCTACTAAGTAAATTGAAAGAGTATTATATTTTTCTTTGTTCAAAACTTTTTGAGTTGTTTACCACTTCAGAAGATAATTTACTTAGGGCAATATCCTACATGGTATATCAGTTGCCATGATACAACACAACTGTATTAATCTGCACTGATCTCTATTACATTTATTCATGTGGGTACATATGTATAGATATTTCAAAATGTTAAATATATAGAAAAAGTTGACAATATCTAGCTGAATATTTTGAAATTAGGTTTTACAGCTTTGTCCACAATTGAATATACTATGCTCAAAATTTTTTCTTATGAAGCAATCAAACTATTAAGATAGCTAACAGTTAAGTTATTTTACAAAGAAATAATAATGTTTTACTCTAATATTCACCTGAACACTCTGCTTTTCTTTATGGTAAAACTACAGAAAAATAAGCAACTGATGAAAGAGTGATGTTTATTTCTGATCAGTAGAGAAATCTGTATTGGAAGAATAAAACGTCTGGGTTAATTATAAGAGGGAAGGGGGCAACATCATCCTTTGATGGCAACTTTATTCTCAGTACTTTCATTTACTTTTCCCTGACTTCCCCAGTTAGAATAATCTGTTTTTTTTCTATAAACTTTTGTGTTTGCTCAACATTTTTACAATCATTTAACTCTGACTTACATAATAATTGTATCTATATCTATTCCTCCAACTTGATAGTATATTTCAAGGGGTAAGGGTCATATTAAAGACTAATTTGGGTTAGGTGCAGTGGCTCATGCCTGTAATCCCAACACTTTGGGAGGCCGAGGCGGGCGGATCATGAGGTCAGGAGATCGAGACCATCCTGGCCAACACGGTGAAACCCCATCTCTACTAAAAATACAAAAAATTAGCTGGGCATGGTGGCGTGTGCCTGTAGTGCAAGCTACCCTGGAGGCTGCGGCAGGAGAATGGCGTCAACCCGGGAGGCGGAGTTTGCAGTGAGCTGAGATCTCGCCACTGCGTTCAGCCTGAGCTACAGAGCGAGACTCAGTCTCAAAAAAAAAAAAAAAACAAAAAACACGGCTAATTTGGCTCCCCAAATGCCTGGTAAATTGTCAAAACAGACCTACTTTTATTACCTAGGGTCCTAGTTATATTGCTGTTTGTAAACAATGAAATTTTTGACAAGTTTCCTAACTTCTCTAAGCCTCATTTCCTCATGTTTAAAATGGGAATATTAGTACATGCACTGCTCATTTCATAAGAGTATATGGGAATCATGAAATAATGTAAAGGGTGATATCTTGAAAATGGTTACAGTACACACAACATAAAGTAATATTACTGTTAATATATCAAGGATTATTTTTCCATAAATATGTTTAAAAAGTTATTTAAAAATAATCTCATTATGTCTAAGAATCAATTTTTAAAAATAATTTAGCTCCCATTTTATAATGGAAACAAGAAAATAAATCCATTTATAAAATTTTATATAATATTAATGTTTGATAAAATATATATATATTCAAATGAATAAAGAAAGCTTCCATAGCAGTCAGCCAATGTCTTACAAAGATCAACAACTGGAATATTGCACTAGGTAAATAAGTTTTTCTAATCTAGTTATTAATTTCATTTATTACTTCTTGATACTTATTTGACACTTCCAGTACATTAAACCAACTTTCTTAGCCTGCCAAAAATGATAGATTATGCTTCTGTGCATTCCTTTTGTTATCACCATGTCTATTTTCAGTATATGTGCATGTGTGCGTTTGTCACTGAGATGCCTTAAGAACCTCTAGTGAGGATAAAAAGCCAGCTATATTGAGAAGACTCATTTCACAAAACATTCTATGCATCAAACTATGATTTCTTTTTAAAGCAAACGTTTTAAAAATAATGATACAAGAAGGAAAAATGACCCTTTCTTCTCCAACTAAATCTTATCCTTGGTCACACACTAAAAGGTTTTCATGATATTTTGTCTGGATCTGGAATGTAAACCATACCAATACTTGTAAGGATTTACAGTTTTTCCCCTTTATTTCACAGTAGTTTAAATTATTAACAAAGATATTAAGGCACTGAGTCCAGTGAAAAACTATGGAATTTTAAGTGCAAATACTGTAGATGACCAATGAATTTGGTGTGGATGGTTCATACTTATGTTATGCATTCTAGTTGACTTAATTTTTTTATTTAATAAGCTAAAGGAACTACTCTAAGGCTAAATGTTACCACTATTATTTGACTGATAGGCTGTTTCTGTCTCTTACTAAGCAACCAGTATTCACTTGATTATACTGGTCCTTTTTAAAGTTCCCAAATTGCTTGATCAGTATTCCAGGCCAAAAGTTGGAGTAGTCCAGAACCTAATGCCATAGATAAATCCCAAAGGGAGATAGGAAACTTCTCTGACCAGAAGGTTTTATAATTAAACGTGACTGAATGGCTCTTAATTGCCTGTAGTACTCAGAGAAATGAGACAGGTTTATCAAAGATAATCCTTATATTTGTATTTGAGACATATATAGAGGCAGATATTTCCCTAATTACTCAGAGGTCATATCTGGAAAACTGTAACTAAACCAACCACTTTTTTTTTAATGAAAATGTCACAAAGAAATGTAATTTCACATGTGACTTCGGGTTATATTACACAGTATTTTGTTATATAAAACAAGAAATGGTATGTACTTCATGGAATTTCTTTTAAAATAAAATGTTTCTTATTTCATTGTTGTCTGCTCAAAATATTCATTTTATTTCCATGTACTACCATGGGCAATAAAGCCATTCTTTTCGATGATTTTGCAATAATACGTAATAAAATTATCTTTTTTTTTTTTTTGGTCTAGTGAATACGACTCACATTATGGTCCTGTGAACATGCATGCTGCTCACCTCTTCCCCATTTTAAGAGGCATATAAGTCAATTTACTTAACAACAAAGACTATAAACCCTACATTTCTGCCTTGTAAACTCTGTTAATAACATGGATTCTGATGAAAGTCAATCAATGTTTCCATCTTTTAAACTGCCTTTTCCCCCCAATACAAATTAAACAACAGCTTGGCCATATTGAGGTCCTTAGTTTCATAATAATAGTGTGTTGGTCATATAATATAGCCTCTAGCAGGTATCTCACTACAAGACCTACGTTAACAGTGGTTTAGCTATATTCGTCTATTAAAGAGCTTTTTTTAAGGTGGAAATCTTGTTCTTACTTTATAATGAGAATAAATTGGGCAAAGAGGGATTTACTTTGTTGTCAAAACTAAAATGTATTAAACAAGATTACATACAATTTTAAAATAAATATTTTAAATTGATAAGTTGAACTTCAAGTGTTATAAATTCATACATGTACTTCTCCTATTTAAATTTCTTAATAAATTAATAAGTACTAGTTCATAAAATCTAAATAATAGGCTCATTACCTTAAAAGGGAAAGATGATGTCCACAAAGTTAAAAGACAAAAAACAGCTTTTTTAAAAAATGCCTTTTTTTAAAGCATATACTGTATGTTTTCTAAAACATATAATACCTTAAAAATTTATCCACTCAATAACTTGTAATCATCCCTAAATCTAATGGGACATAAACGCATTTCATCAGAGATGAAATTCTTCAATGACTGCTAAAATGAGAATCAAAAAATTATTATAATCTAGTAGTTTGGCTTGCAGCAAGCATTAATCAGAAGTCATAATAAATCCACATGCTTCTTTAGACAGCACATTAGTCAAAGAGTTTTCTATGATAACGACAATGACTAATGGGCTCTGAGTTAGAAGGGTCAATCATAAACTCATCAAATGCTTCATTTAATTTCTTAATTTGGACAAACACAATTTGTTTATGGGAAAGATATCAGGTGTTCGTGAATGAATAATGGCTATGAAACCAAACTCCATTAATCAGCTCATGATTACAAATGACTTAGAGATTGTTTATTCTAATTTCATTCATTTGGGTCAACAAAGAAAACATGAGCAAATGAAAACATTTAAAAAAATAGCACAGTTATTTCTCCATATTTAATAAGGCAATGATAAATACTCTCTCAATAACTGTATCAAAAGGACTTTATTACTCAGGGTTGATACCATTCCTTTTTATAACTGAGTTGTTAATGCATATGATTTATAATGAAACCAGGTAGGGAAAAACTAAAAACAAAATAGTGCACTTCACTGCTACCAAAGTTACACTCATTTTATGAGTTCTCTCTGATTCCTCAGGCAGAGGTAGTCACTCCTGTGTTTCCAGTGCACTTTTTAACACTTTGTAGTTTTCCTGACACATAGCAGTAGGGTCTCAAATATTTTAAATATAATAGATGAATGGTTTATAGTACAATGCTATACTGTATCCATATTGCCTGCACAGCTCTCTCCTACCTACACTAGGACGGTGAGCTACAAGGTGGCAGGAATAGTGTCAGGAACTGTTATATTCCCATTGCCTAGCATAGGGCCTGGCACAATTTATTTTTGTATAAATAAATTCTAAGGGAAAGTACTCTGTCATGTAAAATTCTGACTAAATGATTTCAGTGATAGCGGAGTGTTCTATGTTATTTTGAAAGTACCTAAAGAAAAAGCAAATTTCATTGTATTTACTAAAATAAATTTATTTTTCCTTTTCCTTCTCCTTCCTTCTTCCACAATCACTAAATGGCACTTTGGGGGACTCATTGGGCTATCTGGAACTGCTGACTGATCCAGCTGCCATCAGGTTCTATGCTTAGAATAAGCTTTATTTGCTCTTTCTGGCCCACTCTTTGCCCTCCTCCACCCTGACCTGCTTGATAAACTTCATGGACTACATCACATAGGTTGCCTTGCCCTTGAGCTATTTAGTGTTCGAGTTTGGCTAACAGAAGACACTGAAGGGACAATAATTAGAGGGCAAGAAGAAGGAGGGGCTAGGGTTTATTTCCTGCTGATCTGTAGTTTGACAGTGGCTACATTTCTTTATTGAAGGCCAAGTTTCTGTTGAGGCAGACCTCTTACAATGTTCTCAAAATGCTCTATAGCTGATCTCTTCCCTTTCCTTTTTCAGGTCTAGAAGTGGTAAAGACTCACAGCAATTGCTGGGCCAGGAATTTTGATGGGTCATCTTAAACCTGCCCAAACCTTTATTAATAGCCCATTCATTAATCTATCTGATTATGCCATTGAGTGTGCCATGCTATTCCTGCTGCCATCATTAGCTGTATACTTGCTCATCTTTGGTTCCCACATTCCCTCCCTAGCCTCCCAAGTTCTGAGGCACAATCTATAATCTATAGTTAGTTAGCTTAATACTGGCTTGCCTATATTACTTCAGCATGCTGATCCTTACCACTATATCTCATGACATATAGACTCTGTTTTAGGTATCTCCATGGTAACTGTTTCTGTTTTTGACTGTGTACTTGCAATCTTAGATCGTACCCTACTGATGGAGTGCAGAAGAGTTTCTTGATGTCTTACCTGTTCCTGATTCATTATGTCATTCCCCCATTTCAACTCTTACTTCTGACCTTGAGTCCCAAGTTTTGAGAGTATGACATATTTCGAAAACTATCTTCACTAATATAAAATTACTAATACATAGAAGTCTACAAAGAGTAGGCTACTTCATAAAGAAACTAGTCATAAATCTTTTCTAAAATATATAAAATATAATTTATGACCTGTTTTGCTTAAAAACAATTAATGCTTCTCAATTATAAAATATTTTCCCATAAAGTTTTTCTTTTTTTAATACCAAAAATAGTGTAAGAAAGGCATATCCCATGTATGTGAATCTTTGAGGAATGAATTGTCATGATTTGACTCTCAGAGCTAATCTACTGAACTTCCAACATGTAAATCACTTGTTTGTGACTGATATCTTTCTATAATGCATTATAAACTTGTATACTGTCTTTCAAATTTTCAATTACAAAACAAATACAAGCTTATTTTAAAATAAATCAAAATACTGTGAGAAAGCAGAAAATAAAGACACACCACCACTACTTATTACACCCCTCCCCATCATAGTTGGTGAGTATTCCCCCAAGGCTTTTTGTATGCATGTTAAAGATACACAGAGTTATTAGTAAAAGTATATGCATGGCACCACCTGTACTTTTGCAACTTCATGATTTTCCCTCCATAATGATTTGATAGATATTTTCCCTTGTTAGTCAGCACATACAGCCCTGCCTCCTTTTCTTTAAGATCTGCACAGCATTTTGCTGCACAGTCAGCCTCCCACATCCACAGAGGATTGATTCCAAGACTCCCTGCAGATACCAGTATTCTCGAATACTCAAGTCCCTTATATAAAATGGCACAGGACAGTCACCCCTTCATATCCATGGGTTCCATACCAGTGGATATGGAGGGCCAACTATATGTCTTCTTAAAGTAATTACTGCTGAACTTCATTCATCCTTTCTTGATGACCCAGAGTATAATTATGAACATTAAAGCATTAAGCAGAGTTTGGGATTATAAAACAGCGATGTCCTTAAGGGGTTATAGAAAGATATGCCAGTCACTAGACTCCTGCAGTTTTTTTAGCTCTTTTGTCCATTATTTATAATTTGTCCATGTCTTCCTTGTCAGAAATTAGTAGGTCAAATTTAAGCACTTTCTACTATTTCTGAATAATTTACTCTAATTAATCTGACAGAGGTTTAAAAACTAGGCATCAAATGTAAATAAGGCATCAAAATCAGTGAAGAGAAGGAAGAATTATTTAACAAATGGTATCAGAAATGATTAGCTCTTTGTAGGGGTGAAAATAAATCTGTCTTTAGTTTCAGCATTAAACTCCAAAAAAATTCAAGAGTTAAAGATACAATACTCATAAAAATATAAAAACAATGACCAAATGAAAATACTGCATATTCATCTAAGAGGTGAAAGAGAAAGACCTTTGTGTAGTAAGAAATTTGGCCTGGCCTTAGTCTTCAGCTCCTCAGAGGTCAGAGTGACATTCAAATTTGTTATTCAAACTGGCTCTCTCAGACCACGCCGGGTATTTTTGCTGAGAAAGCAACTTAAAGTAGGGCCAGCCACACCTAACAGTATTAGACTGGGGGTAGGGGGTAGCTGGCCAGGCTAAAGAGACCTACAATCATGCACCAGATAATAATGTTTTGGTCAAGAAAAGACATAAGATTATAATAAAGCTGAAAGATTCCTATGGCCTAATGATGTCAGGGCTGTCCTGTGTTTGTGGTGATATTGGTGTAAACAAACCAACTGTGCTGCCCAGCATATAAAAGCATAGCATAATAAATGACTGTGTTACTGGCTTATGTATTCACAGTACTATACTTTTTATCATTATTTTAGAGTGTATTCCTTCTACTTATAAAAAAAAGTTAACTGTAAAACAGCCTCAGGCAGGTCCTCCAGGAGATATTACAGAAGGCACTATTATCATAGGAGGTGACAGCTCCATGGATGTTATTGCCCCTGAAGATCTTCCAATGGGACAAGATATGGAGATGGGAGACAATGATATTGATAATAATCCTGACCCTGTGTAGGTTTAGGCTAATGTGCATGTTTGTATCTCAGTTTCTAACAAAAAAGTTAAAAAAATTTTTTTTAAAGTTTTTAACGGCTGTTCAATGTGTTTGTGTTGTAAGCTGAGTGTTATTTAAAATGGTCAATAAGTTAAAAAAAATTAAAATTTATAAAGTAAAAAGTTACAGTAGCTAAGTTTAATTTACTATTGAACAAAAAAAATTTAAATGAATTTAGTGTAGTATAACTGTAGTGTTTATAAAGTAAACAGAACTGTATGGTAATGTCCTAGGCCCTCACATTCACTCACCACTCACTCCCTGACTCACCTACAAAGTCTATTTACGGTAAGTGCCCTATCAAGTGCATTATTTTTTATCTTTTATAGCATATCTTTACTGTACCTTTTCTATGTTTAGATATGTTTAGATATACAAATACCATTGTGTCAACATTGTTTACAATATTCAGCACAGCAACATGCTGTTCAGGTTTATAGCCTAGGAGCAACAGACTATACCATATAGCCTAGGTGTGTAGTAGGTTATACCACCTAGGTTTGTATAACTACACTCTATGATGTTTGCACAATGACAAAATCACCTAATGATGCATTTCTCAGAATGTATCCTCATCAAGTGATATATGACTGTACACTCTATGATGTTCACACAATGATAAATGGCCTTGTGGTATTGCAATAAACACAATGAAAAATATGCAAGAACTGCGAGAGATCACTTCTTACTGTAATACAATTTTCTGGAGAGGGGGACTGCTCATATGGAAATAATTAGTGTCACATGGCATTTGAAGCAGATACATGTAACACTTGAGCTCATCACAATAGCAACAGGAGGTGGCTAAGAAATTATTACAGTAGTACAGTATGTATAACAGTTAATTGTGCAGTTATGATTGAACAATGCATCTTTACATCTGTTTCCCTTTCTCTCATATGCAAATGGCACAATGCATGGTTTGTAAGTGTTCATGTGTTTAAGTTTTGATAAATTTTAACTTTCTATAATAGTTCATATATTTTATAGTGGTAAATAACATAGACTAGTATCTACATATATTTTATACATTCACGACATACGTGACTTTTTCTTAATTTTCACAATACCTCTAGGTTACAGTGGTCATCTGTGAGTTTTTAAAATTGTCACAAATCTACAGACAAAATTTACAAAATATTTATGTAAAAAAAAATCCTTGTATAAGTAGACCCATACAGTTTAAACACATGTTGTTTAAGGGTTAACAGAACACAGTAATATTTAGTCTCAAATCTAGAATGAAATGATACTACATTAAGTATAGAAAAAAATATAATTTCAAAATACACATGTAATAATTCAAAAATAAGCAATCTTTATATTCCCTCACCAAATATAAGCACTAAATATTCCACAGGTATCTTAATTTTTTTTAAGTCATCAGAGTGGTATTTTCCCACAACTTGCCCAAAAAATACCCATCATGTTGATTTTTATAAAATACCAAACTCATATAAAATATATACCAAACTATATATCTAAAAATAAAAATATAAAATACCTGACAACTTGCAAACTAGAGATTAATAAAATAAAATGTGATAATATGCAAAAGTGCTTTGTAAACCGGGAACTGTTATACAAACATAAAACATTATTATCTTTATTTTTTAATTGTTTAAAGATGAGGTCCTGCTATGTTGCCCAGGCTGGAGTGCAGTGGCTATTTACAGGCTATTCACAGTCATAGAACACTACAGCCTTGAACTCCTGGGCTCAAGTAATCCTCCAGCCTCAGCTTCCTGAGTAGCTGGGACTACAGGCTCATGCCACCATGCTTGGGGCAAGACATTATTAAATCAGCAAAAGTCACAAAGCAGCACAGATATCTGTGATATCATTTATAAAAGCAGCTATTTTACATTTTTGAAATTCATGATATTTGATGCAAAAAGTGAAATTATTTTTCTTAAAAATGACATATAATTGCTTCTTCTGTTAGTTCATTCCAGTTCTGAATCAGTAATATGTATATTTTAAAATATTAGCTTTTAGTAGCTAGAGAAAAATGAGAAACATTAAAGTAAAGCCAATTATTCCTTCATATATCTGACCAGAAAACGTTTATTAAGCACAAATGATGTGTAGGTTCTTGGTGCTGGAGATCCAAAAGTGAACAAAGCAGATAACAATCCTTACCCTGATATAGCTTACATTCTAGTGGGTAGAGACAGATATTGAAAAAAAAAATTAACTAGAGATGGAAACAGTGGTAAAACAGAAAAATGAAGCAAGCAAATGGGACAAGAGGGAGGGAGGGTGTGTGTGTGTGTGTGTGTGTGCATGCGCGTGTGTTTGTATGTATGTGTAGGGGGGAGGTGCAGTTCAGTCAGATGACATCTGAGTAATGACCTGAAGGAGGCAAGAGAGTAAGCTAGGTACTATAGCTATTTGGGGAAGCGTGTCCAGGCAGAAGGAATAGGCAGCATTAAGGCCTTGAAGGGGAAGCTGCCTGCTGAGACTAAGGCATACTAAGAAGGTGAATGTGATTGAGTGAGGAGAACAGGAGATGAAATGAAAAAAAGATAGCTCATCGGATTCTTAAGGGCCTTATTTTCTCTGGAGTAGGCATTAGGTTCTGGCCTAATGGTATTTCTGGCCAGGTGTGGTGGCTCATGCCTGTAATCCCAGCACTTTGGGAGGCCAAGGCAGGCGGATCACGAGGTCAGGAGATCGAGACCATCCTGGCTAACATGGTGAAACCCCGTCTCTACTAAAAATACAAAAAATTAGCCGGGCGTGGTGGCGGGTGCCTATAGTCCCAGCTACTCAGGAGGCTGAGGCAGAAGAATGGCATGAACCCGGGAGGCGGAGCTTGCAGTGAGCTGAGATCGCGCCACTGCACTCCAGCCTGGGCGACAGAGCGAGACTCGGTCTCAAAAAAAAAAAAAAAAAAAAAAAAAAGTGGTATTTCTGATCAAGGTTTTAAAAGGACCACTCATTCCAGTTGCCATGTTAAAAATACAATGGAACTAGTGGGAATCATGCAACCAGTAAAGAAGCTATTGCACAAATTCAGGTGAGAGATGGTGGTGACTTGGTCTAGGTAAGTGGTAGGAAAGGCAGTGAGAACAAAGATTGTACATATGTTTTAATGGCACAGACCCCAGAAGTCGCTGATAGATCAACTGTGAGGTGTGGGGAAACAGTGTAGTCAGTAACCATTTAAAATCTCTGAAGAGTGAATAAACAGATTTTGGAGGGAAGCTGAAACTTGGAAGAAAGGGCAGGCATGGTGGTACCTCACTGCTTTTGAGGTTTTGACCTAAGGGTAGGTCATGGTTGTAGTAAGACATGGCTGAATTGCTGAGAAAACCCTGTGGTCTTTTGGCCTGAGAACCAGAGGGAACAGCCCCAGGCAAATCCAGCCACTGGAAGTAAGGAGGAATCCTAGAAAAGAGAGAATCAGAGAAAGGCAGACCTGATTATTTGTAAATTCTGCCTAAGTCTCTTGACAGCTGAAGCACTCCCGTTCAGGACATACTTGCAGTTTGAAGATGAGGTTAAATTAATTAAGTTGATATTTCAGCTGTTGCCCACTATAGGTGAAAGTAAGTTACAATTTGGGTCTATCCAAGTAAACTGCCTGCTAAAACAAAAGACAATAATGCTCTTCAGAGGAACAGAATAGAATGCAGAGTATTCACAACCAAATATTCACAATGTCTAAGATACAATCAAATAATCATTCAACATCTAAAGAACAAGGAAAACTGGACCCAGTGTCAAAGGAAAAGAAAATCAACAGCAACCAACCTTGAGAGAACTCAGATGTTGAAATTAACAGTAAAGATTTGTAAATGGCTATTTTTAAGGTCCCACCCAACATGAGAATAAAACAGCCATTATAACTATGCTCAATGAGGTACATAAAAATACACTATAATGAATTAAAAATTGAAAATCTCAGCAGAGAAAAATAAAATATAAAAAACAAAACAATAATTTTAGAACTGAAACATGTTAGAAATTTTAAACTTCACTAAATAGAAATGGCAGGATCAGTGACCATGAAAAATGATAAAACAGAGCGATAGAGATGATCCAACCTGAAAACTCAGAGAAAAAAATTGGGAGGGAAAAAAGAGCAGGATGACTGTATCAGTCCATTTTGCCTTGCTATAAAGGAATACTGGGGCAGGGCGCGGTGGCTTATGCCTGTAATCCCGGCACTTTGAAAGGCTGAGGGGGGCAGATCATTTGAGGTCAGGAGTTCAAGACCAACCTGGCCAACATGGTGAAATCCTGCCTCTACTAAAAATACAAAAAATTAGCAGGGTGTGGTGGCAGGCACCTGCAATCTCAGCTACTCGGGAGGCTGAGGCAGGAGAATCACTTGAACCCAGGGGGCGGAGGTTGCAGTGAGCCAAGATAGCACCACTGCACTCCAGCCTGGGTGACTGACTGAAACTCTGTCTCAGAAGAAAAAAAAAAAAAAGGAATATCGGAGACTGGGTAATTTGTAAAGAAGTTTATTTTGGCTCCTGGTCCTACAGGCTGTACAAGAAGCATGGGCCAGCATCTGCCCCTAATAAGGCCTCAGGAAAGGGGGAGTCAGTATATCACATAGCAAGAGAAGGAGCAAGAGCGGGAGAATGAGAAGACACTACACTCTTTTAAACAACCAAATCTCATGCGAACTCAGAGCAAGAATTCACTCGTTACCACAAGGAGGTCATCTAGCCATTCATAAGGTATCCACTCCCATGATCCAAATACCTCCTGCTAGGCCCAAACTCCAACATTGGGGATCATATTTCAACAAGAAATTTGGAGGGGACACACATCCAAACAATATCAATTATAAAGAAGACGAAGAAGTGGAAAAGGCATCTAATGTATAAAACAGAAAACAGTGTACATTTGAAGAAATTACAGCAAAATAATTTCCCAAATTTAAGGGCATAAATTTGCAGACTGAAACACATCATATTCAAACTAATGAGAACCATAAAGAGAAAATATTGAAAACTGCCACAGAAAACCAACACATTACATACATTAACAACAATGACTTCAATGACTAAACTTTTCATCAGAAAAAAGAAAGCCAACAGGTAGTGAACACTATCTTTAAAGTGATGAAGGATAAGAATCTTGAAGGATACCAACTTTGACCTAACTGATATTTTATATAACACAACACCCCCAACTGTAGAATATACATTCCCTTCAAATGCACTTGGTACATTTGCCAACAAACACTGTATCTGAGGCCAAAAATAAGTCTAAAAAAATGTAAAAGAATTGAAATCATATAGAGTGACTATGCCAACTTCCCCGTCCAACCAATATGGAATAATAGGTGCTGATTGTATTTAAACTCCTGTCTGAAACAACCAAGGGGAAAAAAGAAAGAAAAAGAAAAACAGGAAAAAATAAATGGAAGAAATAACTTTCAAAACACTTGACACCACACAAAGTAGAACATTGATTTTCAAGGTCAGGAGACAACGGAGATGAGCCCTATGACTACTGTAGTTACTGCTTTGAGTTTCCAGCCATAATGCTGGGAAAGGGAACCCAAGAAGAGCTTAGTGGACCAAGTTAGTTGAGGAGATGGAGCTACAGGCACCTAGGAGACCAAGATGCCCACAGTTTGCAGAACAATATACAAGAGAAAGAACTACACAGGGGCTGGGCATGGTAGCTCACACCTGTAATCCCAGCACTTTGGGAGGCCGAGGCAGGCAGATAACCTGAGGTCTGGAGTTCAAGACCAGCCTGACCAACATGGTGAAACCCCGTCTCTACAAAAAATTTACAAAAATTAGCCAGGAGTGGTGGCACATGTCTATAATCCCAGCTACTCAGGAGGCAGAGGCTGCAGTGAGCCAATATTGCACCACTGCACTCCAGCCTGGGTGACAGAGTGAGACTCTGTCTTTAAAAAAAAAAAAAAAAAACGAAAGGAAGGGAAGAAGGAAGGGAGGGAGGGAGGGAGGGAGGGAGGGAGGGATATATTCTTTCCAGGAGGTAGACCATAGGAACGACTACAAAGGAAGGAAGGAAGGGGGGTCGAGAGGGAGGGAGGGAGGGAACTGTACAGAAAGAGAGTTCAGAAATCAGTGGAGACTCACCCTTAAAAAGAGAATTCAGAAATCAGTGGAGAGTCACCCTTAAAATATTGATTGGCAAACGCAATTGAGAAACCATCCATGGCTAAAGAAAGAACCACCTGGTCCCTGGTGCCTAAAAGAATACCTGGCATATGAAAGACGCTCATTAAAAATTGTTGAATGTTGAATGAACTAAACATTCTAATTGTTTTTTAAATAAATTACACAGTAAATTTAAATGCCATAAAATTATTTTCCAAAGTGAAGAGGTGATAGGAAGTAAAATTTAAAAGAATGAACACAGGCTTAGGCAAAATATGCAATGTTCAAATCCACATTATAAAAAAATTTACATCACTATGTTTCTAGATATCTTCCTAATAAATGGTTCTAATTCATATTACATACAATTTATTTATAATTATTTACTATAAGGTTTGAATATAAATGTGTTTGCCTCACTAAATGAATATTATCCAATTGAATTTCCTGAATTTTAAAAGCAGAAATAATCAACTGTATCCAGATATACAAAAATTCTTTCATCTAATTAATAATAATTTGAGCCTGTAATTTGGGAGGCTGAAGTGAGTGGATTACTGGAGTCCAGGAGTTTGAGACCAGCCTGGGGAACATGGCAAAACCATATCTCATTAAGAAAAAAAAAAAAAGGATATGAAATGTTAACAGGGTGTGCCTGTGGTCCCAGCTACCCAGGAGGGTTGAGGTGGGAGGCTCACCTGAGTCCAGGAGGTCGAGGCTGCAGTGAGCTATGATCATGCCACCTGCACTCCAGCCTAGACAATAGAGTGAGACCCTGTCTCAAAAAAATAAGTTAATAATAATAATAATAATAATAATAATAATAATAATAATAACTTGCTAAGTCCAATTTACTTTTCAAGGTCTTTGATTAACAGTTTCATAATGTCGTTAGAATGACAATAATTTAAAAGTCCTCTTTTTAAAACAATTTTTAAAATTCCAAGGCCTTAGTAACCTTTCCAAATTACTATGCAAAACTGCGAAATAACGACCATTTCAAGTATTGCTTAAGAGAGTTAAAACAGAAGGAATTAATTAACTCATATCAAATAACTTAGAGCCAATAAAAAGTACACTTAAATGGAATCTACTACTGTCACATGAAGAACTGTAAGGAATTTATAGGTTTTAACATATTCCTTCCAGGAGGAAGACCATAGGAATGACTACATACAAAGTATTTAAAAAAATTAAAAAGTATTAAATTCAAAATTCCTTATTTTAATTCAAAATTCAAAATGACCTTTTATGAGCATATATAATACATCATTGGCATACTTATTTTAAAAACTTTCTGAAAACATTAGACATGTATAAGGTTCTTAAATCAGATAGCATTTGATGACAGGTCATTTAGATGAATTGAATATATTAAATGTACTGTACAGATATTGGAAAGCTATTCTGGAAGTTTTTGTATGTATAAATTTCCCATCACACAGTCTGATAAATCTTTTCTATCTCAGGGTTTGCTCTAAAGGAAAAATAAGCGTATTTTACTTGGTTAAAATTACAGATCTAAATGCCTGGGGATGAATTTTCCTTTCCAATTTATGAATGGGAGGTGAGAAAGAACCATACAAAAGAGCAACCTAGACTTCCTCTCCCGTCCTCTCATCTTCTTTTTGTCTCACTCTATACCTCTGTTCCTGTATTAATTTATCTAGCTCAAATTCTAAATTATGTCATAGTCCTATATGAAAAGTCAACTTCACTGGCTTAGAATACTTTGTGAATTGCATTACATATAAATAGGAGCAAATGAAATGAGCTGCAATTGTGGGTACAGGCAATAAAGTCCCCACTCATTTGGAACCAAAGAAAAAAATATCCAATCCGTTAGAGTATTGTAATAATCAGCTTTCCCCCTTGTATTCAAAAAACATAAAACAGTAATTATCTATGTGCATATAATAAAGTTGGTTCAGTGTTTTCAATTATAGGAACATGAAAATGGTAAACATAAAGTATTAGGGACATATCGCCCATTATTACTCTCAGAACAATTACCAACAATAAAGCAAAGTGCTGCTTATTGAAAAACTAGAGAAATTATTATGGAACAACACATTCTCCATTTTCTGTGAGCAAAAGCCACACTTACTTTTAACTCCTACTTTAGAATGTTAACTCCAGTGGTGTTTAAATACACATTTACATAGTCTACTGGTGATATTCATTCATTTATTCAACCAATGACAAAAAACCAAAAGCTTCTAATACCAGGGTACCATGTTAGTTACAGGGGAATACAAGGTTGACAGACAGACCTTACCTGTAAGGAATTATGTATAGAAATGGTTCTAATGAAGTATTTATAATTGCTATGAATATAAGCTATAATATATACAAAACAAAAGTTTTAGAAAATTGAATCCAAAAATATACAAAAAAAAGTATATCATGCCCAAGTGATGTTTCTCCCAGGAATGTAAGATTGTTTTAACATTTGAGTATCAACCAATGAAATGCAACGTATCAATAGTATAAAGAAGAAAATACATATAATCATCTATATAGATACTGAAAAGGCATTTGACAAAATAAAACATTCATTCTTTACAAGAATTTGAAGCAAAATAAGAATAGAAGAAAACGTCCTCAACGTAAAAAAAGTCATCTATGAAAAACCTACAGTTTACATCTTGCTTAATGGTGAAAGACTGAATGTTTTCTCATTAGGATCAGAAATAAATGAAGGATATCCACTCTTACACTTTTACTCAAAAGCTGGAGATTCTAGCTACAGTAATAAGGTAAAAATAAGAAATGAAAGGTATCCAGTTTTGAAAATAAAATTTTCTCTATTTGCATATGACATCATTGTTTATGTAGAAAAACTCCATCCCAGAACTTAAAGTAAAATTTTTAAAAAGCCAAAAAAGAAAAATCCTAATGAATCTTTTAAAAACTAGTAATCTCTAAGTGAGTTTGACAAAATTGCAGAATACAAGTAAATTATTCAAAATAGGACTGTATTTCTATATACCAACAATGAATTGGAAATAAAAACTTAAACAAAAACTTACTATTTACAATGATGCCCAGAACATGAAATATTTAGGAATAAATTTAACAAATACATGCAAGATGTATGTGCTGGAAACGACAAATCTCTGATAAAAGAAATAAAAAAACAGAATAAATGGAAAGCTATACCATGTCCGTGGATTCAAAGACTTAATATGTTAAGATGCCAATTCTCCCCAGATTGATCTACGAAGTTGATACAACTCTAATCAAAATTCCAGTTGAATTTAAAATTAAAAAAATTTTAATCTGAGTCAGTTTTCATTTAATTTGCTGGATTTTTAAAAATAGTAATCAATAAGCTGGTTCTGAAATGTATATCGAAATGGAAAAGAATTAGAAGAGCTAAAGCATTCTGAAAAAGAAAAACAAAGTTAGAGAAATCACTAACTAATTTCCAGACTCCATACAGCACTACAGTGATCAAGGCTGGTATTGAGTAAAAGGATAGACAGATAGATCAATGGAACAGAATAGAGAATTCAGAATAGAGCTACTTATATGTAGTGAACTGATACTTTGCAAAGGTACAAAGGCAATTTGGTGGATGAAAAACATCTTTTCAACAAATGGCACTGGAATAATAAGATATCCATGTGCAAAGCAAAGAACCAGAATCCATACTTCATCATATATAAACATTAATTTTAAATGGGTCATAGAAAGTAAACTATAAAAACTCTAGAAGAAAACATAGAAGCAAGCCATTGAGTTCTCTGGTTGGGCAAAGATTTCTTAAATATGTCACTAAAAACACAATACATACAAGAAAAACTGAGAAATTAGACTTCATCATGATTAAGAGCTGCTCTTCAAAAGACACCATTAAGAGAATGAAAACATGCCACAAACTGTGAAAAATACTTGCAAATAACATATTTGATCATGAACTTTTACTCAGAATATACAAACTCTTAAAACTCAGCAACTGAAAAATGAACAATTTTTTTAATGGGCAAAGAAGACCTATTATGGTAAATAATCACATTAAGAGTGCTTAACATCATTCACCATGAGGCAAATGCAGATTGAAACCACAATGAGAGACATCTACACACCCACTGAAATGACCAAAGGAAAACTAAAACTAACCATACAAAGTATTGTCAAGCATGTGGAACAACTGGATTTCTTATAGACTGCTGTTGGGAGCAAAATATGGTTCAGCCACTTTGGAAAACAGTTTGCAGTTTCTCATAATGTTAAACAAAGTTATTATGCCAGCAATCCTAGTCTTAGGTATTTACCCAAGTAGAACAAAACCCCATGTTCACACAATATCTAACTTGAGAAAGTTATAATGGTTTATTTCATAATTGCCTCAAATTAGAAACAACAGCATCCTTCAATTAACTAATTCACACAATGGAATACTACTCAGCAATAAAAAGTAAATAAGCTACTGATACATGCAACAACGTGGATAAATCTCAAATGCATGATGCTAAGTCAAAAACGCTAGACTCAAAGTCTACATATTATGAGTCCATTTATATGACATTTCAGAAAAATTCAAGTGTAAGGACAAAAAAAAAGATCAGTGGTTTCTAGGAGTCAGGAGTAGTGGGTTCACAAAAAAGGGGTATGGGGGAATTTGGGGGAATGATAGGATTATTCTACAATTAGATTCTCAGAGCTGTTACTTAACCATTTGCATTTGTCGAAAATTAAAGAACTGTCACTAAAAAAGGTGCATTTTGCTGTATACAAATCATTAATTTTTAAAAAACATTGTTAAGAAAATAAGCAAGACAAGGACTGGGAGAAAATATTTATGAAGTATATAACTGATTTGTATTTAGAATATATAAATAACTATAACTCAACAATATAAATAATTTCTTTTAAAAACAGGCAAAAGATATGAGCAGATACTTCAGAAAGTATACAGATGGTAAATGACTGCATGAAAAGATGCTGAACATCATTAGTCACCACAGGAAGGCACATTAAATTAAATGAAGTAAAACGCACTCAATAAAATGGCAAAAATTAAACAGAAAAAAGCCAACACCACCAAGTAATGTCAAGGATATGGAACAAATGAAGCAAACTTTCATACAATGCTTGTGAAAATACAAACTGATACAACCAATTTGGAAAAATTTTGGCAGTGACTTATAAAGTTATAGCTCCACTTACTATATAACCTTAGTAATTCCAACTCCATTCTTCTTCCTTAGCATCCCAATCCTAAGCAATAACTCAAAATAAACGAAAACATGTATTCCAACAGACTTGTACACAAACATCCATATAAGCTTTACTCATAAAAACCATAAACTGAAACAATTTATTTGTGTCCACCAACTGCTGAATGAATAAACAAACTGGTATAGCCAGACAATGAAATACTATTCAGCAGTAAAAAAAAAATGAATGCTCACAACGACACGAACAAATCCAAAAAGCATTACACCAAGTGAAAGACTACAGACACAAAACACTACATACTATATGATTCCATTTACAACACATTCTAAAAATAGCAAAACTCTAGTGACATAAAGCAGATTAGTGGTTGCTAAGGTCCAGGAATAGGGAGAGAGAATTGACTTCAAATGAGAACAAAGAAACCTTCTGGAGTAATGTAAAGGTTCTTTACCAAAATCTTTGGTCAAAGTGACACAGCTGAATACATTTGTCAAAATTTTAAATTTTATACTAAATACTGGGGAATTTTATCATGTTTAAATTAAACCTTTGCTAGACCTCTTCAGTTTCTCTTCATAACCACAGAAAAATCAGAAAATAAAGATAAGCAAAAACAATTTTTTCATAACCCTAAATCCCACTATCCAGAGACAATACCAATACAAATGATATAATGTACATCATCTAGTTATTTTTCAATATAAATATTAACTTTTGGTAAAACCAAAATAGGACAAAAGTCTTCACACCATTCAGGAGCTTTTAAAAAATTCTAAATTATATCACAAATACTACTTCCATTCAACAAATTCACCATGTATATTATTTTAAAAAAGGAAAAAAGACAAGTTACACTATGATTCTCCTAGTTGTAAGTGAACACCAGAACTTTCTATTGTATGTCTTTTTGTTGCCAGAAATTATTTGAACACTTGCAAAACTTGTTTTTATTAATGTATAACTCAATTGAATTCACAGGTCTTGGAATCTCTAAAAATATATATTCTAGTTTTGCTAAACAAAATTCAAAGAAATCCTTTACAAATATAGAACAAAGTCTTGGCTTTTTTGGGATGACAAGACAATTTAAAAATAACAGTTAATACTGAATAAACATTACAAAAATTTTCTGAAAGAGAAAAGATTATTTGTTGCCATCCACTCTTTCTAAATTTAGGAGAAGATGCTGTACTCACACATGTGAAGGTCCAGTCTATTTAAACAGTTTTTAAAAAAATGTTATTATGAAAGAAAAAAGAAACCCCAGGGCCTAAAATGTAATGAGTGATCCTATTAGTTCCACCAGACTAAAATCATACAGTCTACGTATGTGGTCTTTTCAGCCACATCTGTCATGAACCATTTTTACATCACAAAATGCAAAATACTGAGCAATGATTTACTAGATCAGACCTGGGAAAGTATTCATCATTTTCCCCTAAAAGGAAAAATGGCTCATAGGAAGACAGGTGACAGTTCCTTCTTGGCAATGTGCACATATTTTAGAATTGAATCCTAATATAATCTTAGCAACAAAGAGAAAATTATAATAAAAAAAGATTAAATAAAATGAGAAAATGAAAACTCAATTATAATTTTCTTAAACTCCAAATATTTTGCTTGGCTAGGAAACATGGATCAATTATTTAAAATATGTGAAAATGTATATAAATTACTTACCACATAGTAGATGCTCAATAAATGGCACTCATTATTTTAAATACTTCATGAATCATATTTTTGTTAAGCATTTTATAAAATGATCTGATACTCCTTTCAAAAGCTCTGTTACACTAAACTAGAATTTTTACTTAATATAAAATGCATAAAGGCTATATTTTTCATTTCATTACATTAATTATTTCTTTCACTTATCTGATATCCAAATTAATCACTTTTCGGTAAATTTATTTACATAATGTTATTTTACTCTTATCCAAAAAAACAGACCTATAATTTCTCCTATAAGAAAAGGTTGACTATCAGTACAGATATTTTAATGGCTTAAATTTAAAGATATTAAAGGGTAATTAATTCTAAACAACTCATTACATAATTTTACAATAGATAAGTTACAATGATTTTAAAACCACTGAAAAAGACCCATATATCTAATATATAAGCAAGCATCCAAATCTTATACACTTGTCAGTCTTTCAATAATGAAGTCAGGGAAAACAAATTCACAGACACCCAAGTGAATTGGCAACTGTAAGTGACAGAAGCCCTTCTAAATCCTCTGTTTACACTGGGGATTAGTGGAGTAGATTTTGAGTTGCACATTGAACAGTCCATGGTCAAGGGAACCTGCTCCCTGTCAGCCCGCAGGGCATAAGGACAAAGCATGGTCCTGGTAGGAAGTGACCCATAAACGTATTCCTACCCAGGATTTATACAAAGCCAGTCTGCCTCACAGAAACTCCATATGACCATTAACTGGCCTGCAAGGCCTGCCAGGAGGCCTAATTACAGGTCTACAGAGCCCAATAACAAAAGCTGAAGGGCTTTAGCCTAGGGATGATCTGCTTTATACTGACTTGAGAGAGTCCATATAGAGGACCCAAAAGAAAGAGGTTTAGCTTTAAAATTCTCCCCAGAGATCCAGCATTGTACTCGAGTCTAGAAAGCCCACAAGCAACATACTTCAGCTAGGCTTAAACATATCACCCTCTCAAAATTAACATTCAACTACTGTCTGCTTAACATCTGCTCAAACAAGGCAAGTTGCTGTGATATTGTCAGAATCTAGCTGGTACCTTTTTTTTTCCTACTAAACGTCATTAGGGTAAATAATAGCCACTCAAATATAAACGTGTAACTGATGTTAAAACAAACAACTTACACTTTTTAAGTAAAGCAATTTACTTAGAGATTCTCTTTAGGACACACCAATTTTATCTTTTTGGATTAACAAAAAGCTAAAAACCACATTCATTGTTGGAAATTGGAAGTTAAATTAACATTAGGAATTTGATTTGTATCAAACCTATTCAATTTGACATCAAATTTTTAAGTTTCCATAAACCATACTTGATTGAAAAAAAAAGCTTTAACTAATGTCCAAGTCAACTAAACTATTTAAGGCTTTATTCATTTGTTTTGTTTTAAAAGCACTATTCTTGAAAAAGAGGGACTCCTCCCCAACTCATTTTATGAGGCCAGCATCATCCTGATACCAAAACCTGGCAGAGACACAACAAAAAAGAAAATTTTAGGCCATAGTGGATATTCCCTGATGAACATTGATGCAAAAATCCTCAATAAAATACTGGCAAACTGAATCCAGCAACACATCAAAAAGCGTATCCACCATGATCAAGTCAGCTTCATCCCTGGGATGCAAGGCTGGTTCAACATACTCAAATCAATAAATGTAATCCATCACATAAACAGAACCAGCGACAAAAACCACATGATTATTTGAATAGATGCAGAAAAGGTCTTGGATACAATTCAACACCCCTTCATGCAAAAAACTCTCAATAAACTAGGTGTTGATGGAATGTATCTCAAAATAATAAGAGCTATTTATGACAAACCCACAGCCAATATCATACTGAATGGGCAAAAGCTGGAAGCATGCCCTTTGAAAACCGGCACGAGACAAGGATGCCCTCTCTCACCACTCCTATTCAACAAAGTATTGGAAGGTCTGGCCAGGGCAAGAGAAAGAAAGAAAGGGTATTCAAATAGGAAGAGAGGAAGTCAAATTGTTGCTGTTTGCAGATGACATGATTGTATATATAGAAAACCCCATCATCTCAGCCCAAAATCTCCTTAAGCTGATAAACAACTTCAGCAAAGTCTCAGGATATAAAATCAATATGCAAAAATAACAAGCATTCCTATACATGAGTAACAGACAGAGAGTCAAATCATGAGTGAACTCCCATTCACAAATGCTACAAAGAGAATAAAATACCTAGGAATCCAACTTACAAGGGATATGAAGGACCTCTTCAAGAACTACAAACCACTGCTCGAGGAAATAAGAGAGGACACAAACCAATGGGAAAAAAATTCCATGCTCATGGATAGGAAGAATCAATATCATGAACATGGCCATACTGCCCAAAGTAATTTATAGATTCAATGCTATCCCCATCAAGCTACTATTGACTTTCTTCACAGAATTGGAAAAAACTACTTTAAAGTTCATATGGAAACAAAAAAAAGAGCCCATATAGCCAAGACAATCCTAAGCAAAAAGAACAAAGCTGGAGGTATCATGCTACCTGACTTCAAACTATAATACAAGGCTACGGTAACCAAAACAGCATGGCACTGGTACCAAAACAGATATATAAACCAATGGAACAGAACAGAGGCCTCAGAAATAATGCCACACATCTACAACCATCTGATATTTGACAAACCTGACAAAAACAAGAAATGGGGAAAGGACTCCCTATTTAATAAATGGTGTTGGGAAAACTGGCTAGCCATATGCAGAAAACTGAAACTGGACCCCTTCCTTACATCTTATGCAAAAAGTAACTCAAGATGGATTAAAGACTTAAACGTAAGACCTACAACCATAAAAACCCTAGAAGAAAACCTAGGCAATACCATTCAGGACATAGGCATGGGCAAAGAATTCATGACTAAAACACCAAAAGCAATGGCAACAAAGGCCAAAATAGACAAATGAGATCTAATTAAACTAAAGAGCTTCTGCACAGCAAAAGAAACTATCATCAGAGTGAACAGACAACCTACAGAATGGGAGAAAATTTTTGCAATCTACCCATCTGGCAAAGGGCTAATATCCAGAATCTATAAGGAACTTAAACAAATTTACAAGAAAAAAACAACCCCATTAAAAAGTAGGCAAAGGATATGAACAGACACTTCTCAAAAGAAGACATTTATGTGGCCAACAAACATACAAAAAAAAGCTCATCATCACTATGGTCATTAGAGAAATGCAAATCAAAACCACAATGAGATATCATCTCATGCCAGTTAGAATGGCCATCATTAAAAAGTAAGGAAACTACAGATGCTGGAGAGGATGTGGAGAAATAGAAATGCTTTTACAATGTTGGTGGGAGTGTAAATTAATCCAACCATTGTGGATGATAGTGTGGTGATTCCTCAAGGAGCTAGAACCAGAAATCCCATTTGACCCAGCAATCCCATTACTGGGTATATACACAAAGGATTAAAAATCATTCTCCTATAAAGACACATGCACATGTATGTTTACTGCAGCACTGTTTACAATAGCAAAAACTTGGAACCAACCCAAATGTCCATCAATGATAGACTGGATAAAGAAAATGTGGCACATATACAACATGGAATACTATGTAGCCATAAAAAGGATGAGTTCATGTCCTTTGCAGGGACATGGATGAAGCTGGAAACCATCATTCTCAGCAAACTAACACAGGAACAGAAAACCAAACACCGCATGTTCTCACTCATAAGTGGGAGTTGAACAATGAGAACTCATGGACACAGGGAGGGGAACATGACACACCGGGGCCTGTCGGGGGGTGGGTACTAGGGGAGGGATAGCATTAGGAGAAATACCTAATGTAGATGACAGGTTGATGGGTACAGCAAACCACCATGGCACGTGTATACCTATGTAACAAATCTGCATGTTCGGCACATGTATCCCAGAACTTAAAGTATAATTTTAAAAAAATGAAATAAATAAAAGCACTATTCTTAATTCCTGATAATGTCTTTTAACTGCATAAGCATACTGGTATGAGGAGGACATGTGGCTCAACTTCTTTAATTACCTCATAAAGCCACTTTGGTAATGACATAAAAAACTACTCCTACTAGCTAACATTTATAGAATGCTCAGTTATATGCTAGCTGCTAAAGACTTTATTAAATTATTTATAAATCTCTATAAGGTACACATTATTATAATTCCCATTCCCAATCTCTCTATAGACTTTATTAAATTAATTTATTTATAAATCTCTACAAGGTACATATTATTATTATTATTATTATTATTATTATTATTTTTCCCATTCTGTAAATAAAAAACTGAAGCTCAGCAGGTTTTAACAATTTTCCTATGGTTTCATCAGTAAAGATGAGAGCTAGGAATGGCACCCAAGCCCCCTGACTTGAGGACTTCACCACCATACAATATTGTCTTTCATACTTACTGCTAACATTAACTGAATACTTACTATGTATCAGGTACTGCTCTAAGTGTTTTATAAATACTAACTCATTGAAATCCATAACAACAACCCATTAGTTATGTACTATTAGTATCTCTGTTTTACAGATGAGGAAACTACAGGACAGTAAATAAAAAGTGATCTGCTCAAGCTCACAGTTTGTTAGTGAAACAATATAAATCTGGACTACCAAAACACAATCAAGCATAAGCCTATATAGGGGAAAAAAGAAGTCTGTAAACTATTTATATGAAATAAAAATAAACGTTTCAATCTCCTGCTCTTTTTGGGGGGTTTGCCCTAACATGAAAGGCTCTCTCACAATAAATCAGTACTATTTCTCGGAGCCATAGATAGTGAGTGGTCAGAAACCTACAGACAAAACCTCTTTCAGCTTTAGATCAGGGTAAAGCAGAGCAGCTTTCTATGCTCCCCGGAAACAGTACAACATTATCAAAGCAATCTGATTTGTAATTCTTTGAATTACACATATTTAACACTACAACGGACTTTAGAGAAGTGTTGGGAGTCCTAAGGATCACATGGCTATGAAGAGAAAGGGTCAGGACTTGGCTTCCAGGTACTTAATAGGCAACTAAGAGAATAAAATCTCAGTTTAACAGGCTGCAGAAAAATTGGGATGGGGTGAGGCACTTATGGCGTACTACTCAGCAAAGCTTATTACTTGGATACAGTATGTATAACTGATCTGTGTTTTGATAACACTTAACCAGTTTCTCTCCTAGGAAGGGTCCCTAAAATTCACTTCCATAGCTAGGTGTTAGAAAAAAATCATAAAACATTACTTTAGATTTTTCAAAGTTATAAATTTAGCTACTATAAACACTCTACATAGTCAAGGAAAATAACTTATTGTTCCTAAATGATGCTTTAATCCCTTTGTGGTATCAATAAGAAAACTTACTTCAGAATCAGAGGCTTACTTGAGGATAGAAATTATTTTATTTTAAGATAATTGTAGAAGGAAGTCTTATAGAATAAGGTTATGCATTTTGTAATATTATCTATTGCCTTTCTGCCTAACATAACTCAGGTATTTAACTTATGAATTAGAAGTAGCTCGAGGGCTGGGCATGGTGGCTCACGCCTGTAATCCCACCACTTTGGGAGGCCGAGGCGGTCAGATCACTTGAGGTCAGGTGTTCAAGACCAGCCTGGCCAACATGGTAAAACCCCGTCTCCACCAAAAATACAAAAAATTAGCTGGGTGTGGTGGTGCGCACCTGTGATCCCAGCTACTTGGGAGGCTAAGGCAGGAGAATCTCTTGAACCTAGAAGACAGAGGACGTGGTGAGCCGAGCTTGTGCCACTGTACTCCAGCCTGGGTGACAGAGCAAGACTATGTCAAAAAAAAAAAAAAGAAAAAAAAAGTAGCTGGAGAGTCAGAAATCACTGGAGTTAAGTCCTGATTCTATCACTTATTAGCTCTGTAACTTTTTACAAGTCATTTAAGCTTTCAGAATACTTGTAAACTGGACCTAATTAACTCTCCATGCAGTGATATGAGTCAAAAGATAAAGATTTATTAAAGTGCTTTGAAAACTATAAGGTACAATCCAAAGGTTGTAGATACTATGCAGAAAATGAAATACTGTTATGCAGAGATTTTATAAGTTGTTTTACCACATATGTACAAAAAGAAATTTCTATCTTTTCTTATAACATTAGAAATATAATTTTAAAGGTGCATGTGTCAATTCTATTAAAAGTAAAATATTGAGAAGGCTTCAAAGAAAATTGTGTTACAGGTATTGTCTTCTCATACTGATAAAAAATATCTTTTGGAAAAATCTCTCTTCTAAATTCTTTAGACCCATGGACACATTTGGGATAAGATGATAATACGTTTTTGCAGAAAATCTAGATAATGTTTGGAATGGGGCTATCAAGACAAACAAAGGCAACAGCAAAAGTGATGGAGACAAAGGAGTCCTTACCTAAACTTCCTGTTTTCCCTCCATCCCCTGTGAAATAATCATGTTTTACTGTCTTTTCTGTCAAGCGCTGTCTTAAAGTTTAAGTGTAAAAAGTCAGGTTATGTCATATATCTTCTGCTTTTGAAGCTAGGTAACATCTTAGTATATTTATTATAAAATCCATCAAACAGCAGTTAAAATGAGCACATCAGCATCTAAATGTTTTTCAGACAGCTAGATCCTCTGTTTCTCTACAATGACTTACTTACAAAAGATTAACAGCTAAAATGTTCTCTGATGTAGTACTACTATAGGTATTGTTAAAACTGCTGGGAAAGATGTAGAAGTTTTAAATGTAATTTCTATTTTTTTTGAGACAGGGTCTTACTCTGTCACCCACACTGGAGTGCAGTGGCGCAATCACAGCTCACGGAACCCTTGACTTCACTCGGGCACAAGCAATGTCCCACCTCAGCCTCCCAAGAGGCTAGGACCAGAAGCATGTGCCACCATGCCTGGCTAATTTTTGTATTTTTTTGTAGAGACAGGGTTTTACCATGTTGCCTAGGCTGGTCTCGAACTCCTGGGCTCAAATGATCCTCCCATCTTGGCCTCCTACAGTGCTGGGATTATAGGAGTGAGCCACCATGTCTGGATAAATATACAGTTCCTGACCTTTGGAAGTTTATTTCATTGGAAAAATAAGTATAACATTCATGAAACAACTAAATATTAATATCAGCAGTGTATGAATCAACATCAATATAAATGGTGTGCAAAGACAGGACTAAAAGAATTCAAATGAGGAGAGAAACATTAGGTACTGGAATGGTCAGGGAAAAGATGTGGAAATCTTGTTTTAGAAGAGCCTTGGAGTGTTTGGAGAGGGGGAAAAGGAAGAAAGAAGGCATTTATAGAAGAGAAAAACAATGTGCAAAGCTTCCCAGGTAGAAAAGAATACGGGAAACTTGAAGACCAATGGAAAAAGCACAGTAATGAATTCTAGAAGATAAAGTTAGAAAAGTCTGTGGATCTACCATATAGAACTTTAGAACCTTAAGCATAGAAACATAACACTGATTTTGTAAGCAACTGAGAACCGCTGAGTAATTTTGAGCAAAGGAGTGGCATTAACATATGATACCCAATGATGGCAGCAATGGGCTGTCCACAGTGGGGGAGGCATGGGTGGTGGTGGCAGAAGTGGCTACGGGACCAGCAATAACGGTAGTGGGTCCCCTGTGTCCCGTGTCCCCAAGGCAGCCGGCTGTGCTGCCTCCACCCTCCTATGGCTGGTTGAGACCCGCCCCAAGGCCCAGAGCCTCTGTGGCTCTGGACCTGGCACCATGTCGCTGCTCTTGCCCACTGCTACTGCAGGGAAGGAGGGTGCAGGAGCTGAGGCCATGCTTTGGGGGCCAGCGGTGCCCAATTCGAGGACCTGGCCAGCAACACAGCCGTCCTGCTGAGGACACTGGGTTCCTGCACCTTGGGAGGATGCTCTGCCAAGGGCTGCCTGGGGCCATGTCCCCAGGGTCTGTCTGCCCCACATTTGGGTGACCGCCAGGCCTGACATTCCCAATGGCCAGGCACACTCCGAGAGGTGCCCTAGGCACCCCCAACTGCCACTTTAATCAAGAAAAGCTGCCACATGGGTGAGGAGGAGCTCCGGGCCACCCCTGAGAGCCAGGGCCACAGGGGGAGCTTGCGGAGACATCTCTCCTGCCCTGGTTGCCAGCCTGGGCCCAGTGAGAACCTGGAACCCCCACCCCAGGCTGTGAGGGGGCGCAGCTGGGGCTGCATGCTCCATGGAGCTGACAGAGGCCAGGAGCAGGCAGCAGCCCTGCCCTCCTGAGCATGGCTGCAGCCCCCAAGTTGGGGCTGTGGACCCAGGTCTCTCTGCACTCTTAGCTCAGGAAGACCTCCGCCTTGCCCTTGCAGGCTTGAGGGTGCCTGCTCCTGCTGCCTGGCCTCTCTCCACTCCTGGCACCTGCTCCAATCTCAGAGCAGGGTTGGGACCAAGCCTAGGTGCTGTCACAGCCCCGCCAGGTATGTGCACACTGCATGCATGGGGCAGCATGGACACACCAGCCCTTTGCTGCCTTAGCCCCCTCCAGACTTTGGGCACTAACAAACACAAGTTACGGCTGAAGCTGAAGGTGGAGGGTTGAGGGTGGCTGGGCACTGGCCTGCAGGTGCCCCTTACTGCAAGCAGCCTGTGTGTCATGGATGGCGGCAGGAGGCAGAAGGTCTCCTGGGCAGAGGGGGACAGGTGAGGCCCTACCTTCAATCCAGAGAGGGCCTGAAGGCTGGCAGCTGGGCTGCCAGTCCTATGGACCGGAGTGGGGACTTGTGGTGCCTTTTCTGGGCCTGCCCATGGACCAATCAGTGTGTATTTCCTCCCCCTCTAAGGCCCATAAAAGCCCCAGGCTCAGCCAAAGCAGAACAGAGGATGAAGAGAAGATGGGAGGACCAGCTGCAGAGAGAGGCTACCTTCTCTGCTGAGAGCTGCAGAGACAAGGGGAGGACCTGCCTACAGAGAGGAGCCACCAACTCTAGGGCTTCCTCTCTGCTGAGAGCTGCAGACATGATGGGACAACCTGCCTGCAGAGGGAAGACATCCACTCCAGGGCCTTCTCTCTGCAGAGAGCTGCAGACCATGGGATGACCAATAGCAGAGAGGAGCTACCCTCTCTGCTGAGAACTGAACACTTGTTGGTACCACCTGCCTAGCAGAGAGGAGCTACTCTCTGTTAAGAGCTGAACACTCATTAGGATACTCTGGCTGTGGAAAGAGCTGCCCTCTGCCAGTCCCCTCTGAGCTGTTCTATTGCTCAATAAGCCCCTCTTCATCTTGTTCACCCTCCACTTGTCTGTGTACCTTATTCTTCCTGGTTGCAGGACAAGAACTCAGGATCCAATGAATAGGGAAGCTAAAAGAGCTATAACACAAACAGGACTGAGACATGCTCCTTGCTCACCATGTTGCAGGCAAAGAGAAGGAGAGAAGAGCTGTGGTGCTTTGGGGGAGCTCAGACCTGGAAGCTCCTAGAACCAGGACTGTGGCTCCCTCCTTGGGACCCTGCAGTTCCTGGGATCTTCAAGCTTCCGGGTGCCACCGTGTTCCCGGTGCCAGCTGTGGAAGCTGCTTGTAGTGTGCCCGGACCAGCTGCAGCCTCTCAGAGAGCTGGTGCCCATGCTGCCACCTGCTCTGCTGCAGCAGCCGCACAGAGTTTTCCAGCCAGAAAAGCAACACCCCAAAGATCCGATAACACCAAAGAATCATCTAGCAGTGGTGTCTACAAAAATCAAGATGAAATACAAATTTTCTGGTGGCTACCACTTTTCAGGCTCTGGGCTAGGTATTTCATGTGTTATTATTTTCATAACAGTCCAACATGGCAGTTATTATCTTTCGCTCTTACAGATAAAGAAATTATGGTAAAGAGAAGCCCCCAAATACAAATACTTTCAAATAGGTAACTTAAATGTGTGATATGGTATAGTTGAGGCAATAGAGAACTGTTTTATACACTGCTATTGGTGCGAAAGTAAAATGGTTCAGCTGCTATGGAAAATGTTTTGTGGTTTCTCAGAAAATTAAACATAGAATTACCAAATGACCCCACTATCACCCTCCTAGGTATACACCTAAAAAACCTCCAAACAGGTACTCAAACAAGTACATATACACACATATTCAAATGTACTCACAATAGAATAAAGGTAGAAACAACCCAAATTTTATCAATGGATTAATAAGTTGTGTGTGTGTGTGTGTGTGTGTGTATGTTTGTGTGTATATATATATATACACACATACACACACATACTAAATGAAGGAAGCCAGACACACAAGGTCACAGATTATAGGATTCCATTTATATGAAATATCCAGAATAGACAAACGGAGACAGAGGGAGAATGGTGGTTGTCAAGGGCTTGGGGGAAAGGAAACTGGGGAGAAACTGCTAGTAGGTAAGCGGTTTCACTCTGGAGTGATTGCAATGTTTAGAACTAGATAGAATTGATGGTTGTACAAAACTGTGAATGTACTGAATGCCACTGAATTGTTCATTTTAAGCAATTATGATTAATTTTATGTTATGTAAATTTCACCTCAATGAACTAGAAAAAAACACACATCTGTCATATTTGATTAAAAAAACCCTCTGTTCTGGCTAAACAATAAACATTAAACTGCTCAAAGTTACAGAACAAGTGGTGATGGCAGGCTTAGGATCTTTCCACTATTCATTAGTGTCTCGCTACAGAAGTAATAGAATTGAAGCAGGAAGCCAATTAGGAGGTAATGGAATAAGCCATGAGTGAAATGTTTGGCATCTAGACTAAGGAGATGGCAGTGGGAGAGACAATAAAGGGATAAATACAAAAAAATTACACAAAATCAGAATAATTAAGTCCAGGTGAATTATCGCCTATAAAAGAGTCAAAGAAAATGTTCAAAGTTTTGAACCAAAGTACAAATATGTAATAGTTTAGCACATATAAAGTATGTTCCTAACCCAAATACAATAAAATCTCAGACTCAAATTTATGTTTGATATAATAATCATAACACCCTATAGGTACATTTTTTTAAATCTTATTTTAGTCCTTCATATGCCTTTCAGAATCATACCACTAAAAATCGTGGCTAAATATTCGAAACAGATTTTAATTCCAAACCAATAACATTATTAACATTTACTAATATCAATTACGATGCAATAGTTAAATATAAAACTTTCTTCTGGGACTCAGAGCTAGAGTAAACAACTAAGTCTAATCGTAGGATTTCTACATATTAACCTTATCTATCAAGTTATGCTGCTTGTAAGGCTAAAATTAATCCTGCGTCAAGAATCTAGCATAAGGCCTGAAGTCTTTGCCCATGGCCACTTTTAAGGCCCCCAAATCAAGGTGTTTTTCCTAGGAACCTAAGTGAACTCCAATGTGACAATGGGTACTACTAGACTTCCCTATCCATTTATCTCAACCTTGAGACTAGGCTGGACTGCAAAACTTACCAGACAGGTCTCAAGTTCTTCTTATTTATTTGCTTATTTTTAATAATATAATGAACACCTTAAAATTCATCACCAAAAAGACAACTAGAATCTTGACAGTAAGTTAGCTATGTACTCTTCCCCTACCTATCCATCTACTTGCCCTCTACTATGCCACAAGTTCTCATTAAAAACAATACTGGATATTTTTCAAAAAGGTGTAATATGTTATATCATATTATACAGCAACATATTCACGGAACTGGTATCAAAAAGCAATTCTAGTAAAACGATTACTTAACCAGTGGCAATGAAAAGTAGCACAAAGCTTTATAAAACAATACAGCAAAAATGTACAAAAAGCCATTCTATTAAATTGGTGCAAAAGTAACTGAGGTTTTGCCAAAACTGCAATTACTTTTGGACCAACCTGAAATGTTAATACCCTCTGACCTCATAAACTCATTTCTATAGTAACAAATCCCCCCAAAATAAAATAGAATATGACTAACACAATGTATAAGAGGGTGTTCATTACAGTGTTATTGGTAAGAGGGAAAAGTTGAACAACATAAATATTCAATAAAAAAGAGTGACTTAAAAACTTGAGTATTTAGCTAAGGTCTGTCTTTTGCTTATCGGGCCTAGGCCAAAATAAATTTTTTAACTTGAAAATTGTCATAATTTTGGATGCTTCTCAAATTCACAGAATCTAGCTCTTTATCCTTAGATACAATTTAGAACATTGAAGTTAAATGTTAGGGATGACAACTCAGATGGATATAAGCAAGTTATACACTGTGAGGTCTGGAGTATCACATCTATTTTCTAATGTGCTTCAAAATCATACTAAATATTTTTAAAAAACTGAATAAAACTATGAAATAAAATTATTTAAAATTGCATTTGTGGAAACAAATGTTTTCTGTGCTAAGCAACATAAATATTTTCCTTCAAAGCAAGGGTTTACTCAATTATGAGCTGGAATACTCAATTAGGAGCTGCAAATATTTTTTCAAAGCAAAATGCCATGCATATTATGTAAATGATATAGAATCAAATTAATTAGATTTATCCTACAGTATATTTTATTTGAGTGAAAATATTAAAAAAATTAACAAAATTTTAGTAAGTAATGTTTTCTACATAAAGATAAATAAGATAAAAACATAAACTATGAATTATTTTTAGAGTAATAAGGAGGAGTATAGAGACACTTCATCAAAACTAAAACATTGCCAATCTTTTTACCTACATGGTAAGTTACTTCTATTAGTAATTCAGGAAGCTAGTATACCGATCATACTGGAGTTCCCAATCTTTAGACTGTGGACACTTTAAATGAGAATACAAAGAACTAATGCAAGAGATCCTTTAATCAATATGCACATATGTATTTTCTTGATCAATGAATCCTAAAAATATAACTATTATCATTTGGTGGTCTGAAATTACTTTTGATGTTAAAATAGAATTCTCATTTTTCCAGCTTGAAATTATGAGCTCTTTATAGTAAAAAATTTTAAGAAATATATACAGTAGTCCCCCATCATCTGCAGCTGCAGTTTCATTTTCTGTGGTTTCAGTTACCTGCGGTCAACTGTGGTCCAAAAATAGGTGATTACAGTACAAGATATTTTGAGAGTGAGAGAAAGAAACCACATTTATATTTATTAAAGTATATTATTATAATTGTTCCATTTTATTATCATTATTAATCTCTTACCTAATCTATAAATTAAACTTTATCATAGGTATGTATGTATAGGAAAAAATATAGCGTGTGTATATGTGTGTGTGTATCTAGATACAGATATAAATTAGATATATAGATAGATAAATATAGATATAGATACAGGGTTTTGTACTACCCATGGTTTGAGACACCAACTGGACGCTTGGAAGACATCCACCATGTATAAGAGAGGACTATTGTACTACTCATTAAAACTTATTGTTTGAATAAGTTATATACATTTTTGAAGAGCACATTAAGATTCAAAGTAAAATATCAGCACTCAGAAAATATAGATCTTATATATTTTTAAAAAAGTAAAGTATTTAATGTCTATATGCAAGTGAACATGGTATCTAAAATCTAAGTCACAGCATTATAGTACCTTGAGAAATAAAACATACAGCACTTGAAGAGTACATGGTATCCAGAACATACAGTCCAGTGAGTTAGTCCAATGTAATTAGGGAAATTACTAAATGACACTGATCTCATTTTCTTTAGAACAATGAAAATCTCAACCTAAACATTACACCTTATTTAAAAAATTAAAATGGAGGAGTTAGTCTTAAATGTAAAGTGTAAAACCATAAAATATAAAGTTATATTTTATATAAATAAAAGCCATAAAATATAAAGTTTTATGGTTTTACATGTTACATTTAAGACTAACTCCTCCATTTTAATTTTTCTTTCAAAAGAAAGAAAATGTAAGAAAAAAATCATAATCTGGGATTAGTCAAAGAATTCTTAAACACATCACCAAAACCATAGTACATAAAAGACAAATTAATCAATTGGGCTTCATCAAAATAAAAAACTAAAACTGAAGCCAATTTTATAAATGAAAAGGTAAAGAATGACCTGTTAGCAATACACTTAGCATTATACTGCGGCAATAAATATTTCAGATAATATATGGCCATACATATAATCTAGATCTGATAAATTTGTGAGGATATATAAAAATAGTGTTTTTTTTTTTACTCATTTCTAAGCATGCTACCAGCCTAGGGTTTACTCGTCACTTCTTCATTTAATAAAAGTTAATTATCAACACTTACCAGCAGCTTCAAGAACCAGCTGTAGTCTGGCTTTGGCCTGTTCAGCTGGTGGCTAAAAAAGAAAAAAAAAAAAATTCAACCATACAAGACTTTTACAGGTCAGTTTTAATTGATGGAGTTTTAAATTAATGCATTTGTTTGCAAATATTAGGAAATTTAAAGAGCTTTAACATAATTTATATTAAAATCCATCACATCTTGCACTTGCATATATGATGCAAGAATGATAAGCTTCTTTCATTTTTTTTTCCTAGAAAAAGTTTTGCTTACTATCCAACATTGTATCAATCAGCAATAACATAATTAACTGAAATTTAATAACAAGGCAAGGCACACACATTTAACAACATATTCTTAAGTTGTGTTATTTCTTTGCACATAGAAACAGGCAAGCAATCTATGAGAATTTAAATAGCAACCTTTAAGTTCAATATTTGAGGTAAGTCAGACTCTAAAACCACTTTTCTGCTTTCCTAACTGGAATTTAAAGGAACAATTGTGATGAAGATAGGACACAATTTGGCTTATATGCTTCCGGCTCCTATGAACTGTCCTAAAATTGCTTTTTCAGTGAACCTTGATTCAATATAGTTGATAACAATGAAACTAAACTAATTTCCAGCCGGACGCAGTGGCTGACGCCCGTAATCCCAGCACTTTGGGAGGCCGAGGCGGGTGGATCACAAGGTCAAGAGATCGAGACCATCCTGGCCAACATGGTGAAACCCCATCTCTACTAAAAATACAAAAAGTAGCTGGGCATGGTGGCATGCACCTATAGTCCCAGCTACTTGGGAGGCTGAGGCAGGAGAATTGCTTGAACCTGGGAGGTTGCAGTGAGCCAAGATCGTGCCACTGTATCCAGCCTGGCAATAGAGCAAGACTCCGTCTCAAAAAAAAAAAAAAAAAAAAAGAAAAAGAAACTAAACTAATTTCCTACCAGTGACCACACTCTGAGATTTTTGGATAACATATTAAACAACAACAACAAATTATATCATGAATTATGTCAAGACTATGACTTTTTACTAAAGACCTGTTAAAAAAACTGTTGTCCATACTTGAGACTTCAATTAATATATTTATAAAGTTGTCAGCAATAAACAAAATAACCCCAGTTTTATATATGAAAATAATCACTTCAAAACTAATAATTTATGTGATATATTAGAATATTTTGCTATTTGTAAAAAGAAACCCAGCTTGAATAAAAGAATTAAATAACTGGATACAGAAAGAAGATGTTGTGCTCAGAAAAGTTTAAGAATTTGAATGGTCCTTCTGGAAAACCTATAGGAAACAAGATGGAAGAGTGGTAGATGAGACAAGTGAGGAGACTGGGAGAACGTATTATATCACAGAACAGGGATTAAGAGACTATAGACCTGGACCAGTGGCCTGGTTTCATAAATAAGTTTTACTGGGATATAGGCTATGCCATTTGTTTACATAGTGCCTACTGGCTTTTGTGATCAACTCAACAATAAGAGTTCATTATTTGTAGCAGGAATCTTAGGATCAGCAAAGCCTAAAATATTTATCTGGACCTTAAAGTGTGCCAACCCCTGCCATGGAAGATGAAGAGACTTAGAAAAATTTTAAACAAAGGGGAGATGTGATCAGATCTGCACTTTGATACATCACTCTAGCAATATTTTTGAGGATGAATTGAAAGGAATGTGTCTAGAGGCAAGGAGCTCAGTTAGGTGGCAATTAATGAATTCCAGGTGAGAGGAGGGCCTGAGCTGAAACAATAGCAGAAAGGTCAAACAGGACAACACAGATTTGAGAAATATTTAATTGGTAAAACAAAAGGACTGATTGGTTATTAGAGAAGGAGGAGATGACAACCAATAAAGACTACTTTATGTCATATGTTTAAGGGAAAATGTATGTAAGCACGCTTTATAAAGTATTGGAAATATGTGACATCAAATTAAAATATCAAAGCAAAATATCAATAGAAAACTGTGATATCTACTGAATATAAAAGTCATAAACTGTCTACAGGTATCAAGCCATTAATGCAAACATTTATGATGATAAATGGCAAATGACATTTGACATTAGTATCAGAAAGCACAGGGAAGTGTGGAGAACTGTGAAGCACATGCCCCAACTAAAGGAAGCAGCTGACACCCAGCACCAACTGATTGTGGTCATGCAGAAACGCAAGCCCAGGGTTACGAAATTTGTTACTTTTTCACAAGCATTTAAGTCACCATGAAAACCAGTACAGAATGTGGATAAATACAGTACTTTTACGGGCCAGATTCAAGCAGATCCTAAGCAAGCGAAGAATTAGGAAGCATACATGTCAGAGCATCCTTGTAAGTAGTGTCCTTTAATAGAAAAATCCTAGACATTTTACTGGTTAAGATATTTCATGACTAATTTTTTTTTGTATTTCATAAGGAAAGATTTTTTTAACAATTAAGAAATATTTAAGACATAGAAAATAAATACATAATAATGTATACCCAACATTCAATAAAATATTAATAGCAATATTGTCAGTTTTCTACTCCATGAAGTCTCCCTCTATAGAAGATCTCTTCCTCTCCACATCTATAACCATTATCTTGAAGATATAGTCACTACCATTCCTAAGGGAAGATTCTTTTTTCTTTTTTGTAAGAGATAGGGTCTCACTCTGTTGCCTAGGCTAACGTGCAGCAGTGTGATCATGGCTCACTGCAGTGTTGAACTCCTGGGCTTAAGTAATCTTCCTGCCTCAGCTCCCTGAGTAGCTAGGACTACAGGTGTGCACCACCACACCCAGCTCCTTTTTTCTGTTGTTTCATAGAGTTGGTGTCTCACCATGTTGCCCAGGTTGGTCTCAAACTCCTGGCCTCAAGCAATCCTCCCACCTAGGCCTCCCAAAGAGCTAGGACTACAGATGTGAGCCACTATGCCCAGCTAGGAAAGTCTTGATGGCTAATTATAATATTTATATATTATAATTATCTATTATATATATTTATATATATATAATATTTATATAATTATATATTATATAATAGTTATATATCATAATATTTATATAAATATACCTGTTAAGATATATTTATTTTTCACTAATAACTCCAACAATTTATAATACAGGATTCATATTTCAAAGACAAAGAAAACCAGGAAATAACAGCAGTTTAGTAACTTGCCTCTACTTGTAAATGATGAACTAAAACTAAGACTCTGACTCCAAATCTCAGGATCATTCTAACTAAATCACTAGGATACTCAGGAAATAAAATCAATTAATTCACATAGATATAAATGCATATAGAGTTTTGATTCCGTTTAAAAAAATTGTCCAAAATAATACACTTGACCCAGTAAATGAAATTTGATTCTAAAAATATTTGCCTATGCAGATATAACTTGCTAAATTTTATTTATGAAATACAGGGACGAACTCCAACTATGGGGATATACTGTTACATTGATCAAACTTTTAAAAGTAATCTGTATTTTATAGTTTTACTTTGCTTATATTTATTGCTCAAGCCTTTTTCTTCAATAGGTTGTACAGATGCAAATGTTCACTCACTTTTTGCCCATCTGCAAATAGCCTTTTCTTAGCGTGACTGGTGAATAAGTTGAATGAATATAGGATTCTTGGGCTGTCGTCTTTTTCCTCTCAGTGACCTGCTCCTCAAATCTTTCGTAAGGGCTCCCTTCCATTGTTTCTAGGCTTGAGTTTGTCTCAGAAGAAGGAAAGCATCACCACAGGCCTCTTGGCTGAAACCCTCTGCGTCCCACCTGTCTATCTGCATCAGTAGCTGCCTGGCTCAGAAAAAGTAGCTCAGTTGGAGATGAAAATGAAAATGAAGAGAAGGCAGTCTGATTTATGTTGCCTTCATTGTGACTGCTATCTATAGTTATTTTTTTTAAAGAAAGGATTAAGGAGGAAGAAAGAACAGAATATAGAATTAAAAAAAAATTTCATACCAACCCATTTTTAGTTACCTATCATCACACTAGCTGGCTTAGAATGAAAATACCTTTGGGGCCTGCGTGCTAAAATTTCTAATGCTTTAGTTATTTTAGCATGTATTAGACTCCAGGATCAGTATAAATTTCATCTAAAATTCGTAAATGGTATTAATCTTATTCAGAACCAGAAATTATACCTTAATGAATAAACAGTATTACCAAATACAGACGCAAAGAATATAGCAATTTCTCAAAAAAAATTTTAAATGGGGACATGTTTAAGAGCATAATGTCACAAGTACTTTATATGATAGAAACTTAATGAGAAAAAAATGTATTCCATTAAAAAACACTATTTCTACAGATAGAAGACCATGGGAAGACACAGAAAGAAGACAGCCATCTGCAGGCCAAGAAGAGAGGCCTTAGAAGGAACCAACCCTACTAACACTTTGATCTTGAACCTCTAGTCTCCAGGACAAAGAGAAAATACAGTTCTACGCTGGGCATGGTGGCTCATGCCCGTAATCTAGCACTTTGGGAGGCCAAGGCGGGCAGATCGCTTGAGCTCACAAGTTCGAGACCAGCCTGGGCAACATGGCAAAACTCCATCTCTACCAAAAACACAAAAATTAGACATGGTGTCATCCACCTGTGGTCCCAGCTACTTGAGAGACTGAGGTGGGAAGATAGCTTGAGCCTGGGAGGTGAAGACTGCAGTGAGCTGAGATCACACGACTGTACTCCAGCCTGGGTGATAGAGCCAGACCTTTTCTCAAAAAAAAAAAAAAAATTATATATATATATATATTTCTGTTGTTTAAGTAAAAAAACAGACAAACAAAAACCAACACCCAATATCAACAGTACATAATTAAAGAATATCACAAAAATAGAATTATAGAGAATATAAATATGACTCCCTTAAAACATAAATGGTAGTGTTGACATTAATAGAATTAATAGATCAGTGACAGCCTGGGCACGTGGCTCAAGCCTGTAATCCTAGCACTTTGGGAGGCCAAGGCAGGCAGATCACCCAAGGTCGGGAGTTCCAAACCAGCCTGACAAATATGGTGAAACTCTGTCTTTACTAAAAATACAAAAATTAGCTGGGCCTGGTGGCACACGCCTGTAATCCCAGTTACTCAGGAGGTTGAGGCAGGAGAATCGCCTGAACCCGCGAGGCAGACATTGCAATGAGCCGAGATTGTGCCACTGCACTCCAGCCTGGGTGACAAAGGGAGACCCTGTCTCAAAAAAAAAAAAAAAAAAAAAAAAGGGCAGTAAGAATAATGTAAACTTTTAGTGTAAGTCTTTAAAGGCCATATTAAAGTTAAAACTGACTATTATGAATAATAAAAAAGTCAGTACAGATACTGTACCATAATTTTGACTGTATAAAAGAAAACTGTAATGCTGTTAGAAATTTGTATCACATAGGGCTTAAAATTGCTAAAACTAGTAATAATTATTTGGTGGGAGCAAAGGCGGCTGGACTACTTAACTCCATTTGTAAGCCTTGGGTTTACAGAAGAGAATCACAAACGGTCCCATTAAAAACTGGGCAAAGAACATGAACAGAAATTTCTCAAAAGAAGAAATACAAGTGGCCAACAAACACATGAAAAAAATGCTCAACATTGCTAATCATCAGAGAAATGCAAATTTAAAACTACACTGAGATACCATCTTACACCACTCAGAACAGCTATTATTAAAAAGTTAAAAAAACAACAGACGTTAGTTAACATGGATGCACAGAAAAGGGAATGCTCACACACTGTTGATGGGGATTTAAATTAGTTCAACCTCTGTGGAAAACAGTAGGAGATATCTCAAAGAAATAAAAATAGAACCACCATTCAATCCTGTAATCTCATTACCCAAAAAAAAAGAGATCATTCTATAAAAAAGACACTTGATTGCAGTGTTATTTACAATATCAAAGTCATGAAACAAACCTAAGTGTCCACTTATAGTTGATTGGATAAAGAAAACGTGGTATATGTACACTATGGACTACTATGCAGCCACAAAAAAAGAACCAAATCATGTCCTTTGCAGCAACCTAGATGAAGCTGTAGGCCATTATCTTAAGTGAACTAACACTTAAGAAGCAGAAAGTCAAATATCACATGTTCTCAGTTATAAGTGAAAGCCAAGCTACACAAATGGTATACATGGACATAAAGATGGAGAAAACAGGCTCTAGAGATTCCAAAAGAGAGGAGGTTGGGAGGGGAGTGAGGGGTGAAAAGTTACCTACTGAGTACAATGTCCAATATGTGGATCATGACACACTAGAAGCCCGATCCCACCATTACACTTGTAATAAACATGTAACAAAAAAGCACATGTATCCCCAAACTCTAAAATAAAAAAAAATAAAATAATTTAAAAAAACACACAAAAACTTCTAAGATTAACCAAATGATAGGTCAGTCTCATAATGGCCTGTGGAGATGACCATTCTCAATGTCTAGAGTTTTTCCTGACTCTGGATTTATTCTTACCTCTTCAGTTCCTTATAAATTACTGCATATCTAGATTCTCAAAATACTGCCAAAGCATACATTCAAAACCAGCATAATCCTTTGAGCCACCCATGAGTGTATATTAATGATAAGAGAGAAGCCTATCCTTATATAAACTAGTTTACATACTAAACTATTGAAACTATTTGTTTACCTTTCTCACTTCCATTCATATTCAACTCCCTAAACCCCTGGCCACCACTATGGAAATTCTGAAAGTTGATGAAGTTAAAGCCATTCCATCTGCCAACAACACTTTTGAGGTTGTTAAAGAGAGAAAAGTAGAAAGTCTGAAACAAAAGACTGTGACTCACCTAAAAAGAACTCAAACTTGGAAACAAAATTAGATGTGCAATGTTTCAAAAAATCGAAATTAAGATAGGGTAACAAAGAAAATTAAAATTGTTTGTAACACAGAGGATAAATGCTTGAGGGGATGGATACCCCATTTACTCTGATGTGATTATTAAGCACTGCATGCCTATATTAAAATATTTCATGTATCTCATAAATATATACACCTACTACGTAATCACAAAAATTCAATTTTTTTAAAAAAAATAAAAAGAGAAACAACATTTGGGGTGGGCGTGGTGACTCATGCCTGTAATCCCAGCATTTTGGGAGGCTGAGGCAGGAGGATTGTTTGAAGCCATGAGTTCAAGACCAGCCTGGGCAATAAAGCAAGATCCTGTCTCTACACAACAAAACAATTAGTCAGCCATTAGTTGCACTACACATACAAGCCTGTAGTCCCAAGTATTTGGGAGGCAGAGGCGGGAGGATTATTTGAGCCCAGGAGTTTGAGGTTGCAGTGGGCTATGATTGTGTACTGCACTCCTGCCTCCAGACAGAGTAAGACTCCATCTCAAGAAAACAAAAAAAAATTAAGATCAGATTTAAGATTAGATTCAGATTTTTTGATATTGCCCTCAATTCCATATTATCATATGTTCTCTTTATACAAAAAGAATATAAAATAACCTTTAACCTACTTGTAAGAGAGTAATTGGAACTTCCTGTTTGAAGAGAATGTATAGTTGAAATAACTTCACATCTCATAGGGAAATGGTGCTAGAGTACTACTGGGCCCTTTACAGAGTCTTGTCACTACATTCAATCAACCGAAATTTATTACTTTCATTTGTTCAAAAAATTTTATAAACTATGTCTTCTATATAAGGTACTGTGTTACAAGTTGAGAATAAAAAGATGAAAAGATATAGTTCCTGACTTCAAGGATCTTACAGTATAATCAGAGAGAGAGAGTCAAAATAACAATGTAAAAAAAGAAATACTATTTACTATTTACTAAAATGTCTACATTGTGCCAAGCACATGTGTTACTCCTATTTTTCCTAAAACATTTTCAGATAGCTTTATTGAGGTATAATTGAACTACAATAAAGTGTATATATTTAACATATCTGGTCTTTAAATTCAGCACACAATTAGTTTGAAACTTATCCATGTTGTTATGTCTATCAACAATTCATTCTGTTTTATTGCTGGGTAGTATTCCACTGTAAGGATATACCCTAATTTCTTTATGCATTCAACTATCAATAAATGTTCAAAGTATTTCCAATTTTTGCTATTATAAAAGGTGCTAAGATTCAGGTACACATCTTTGTATAAATATGTGCTTTCATATCTCTTGGGTAAATATCTATAATTGAAATGGCTAAGTCATATGGTAAATATATGTTTAACTTTTTAAGAAACTACCAAGCTATTTCCAAAGTGTTTTTAGTATCCCACCAGTAGGGTATGAGAGTTACAGTTGCTCTACATCCCAACCATCACTTGGTAGAGTGAGTCTTCTTAATTTCAAAATTCTAGTAGGTATGTGGTGGTGTCTCATTGTGGTCTATATTTCCCTAATGAATAACGGTGTTGAGCATCTTTTCATGTACTGATTATCCATATATCTTCCTTGGTAAAATGGATGTTCAAATCTTTTGCCAATTTTTATTAGATTGTTTTCTCAAAATTGAGTTTCCAGAGTTTTTTAACAAAAGTAATTTATTTCATATAGTTTGCAAATTTGATATGCAAAATCCAACTGGACTTTTGATGAAATCCCATCCATCAATTTCTTCTTCTCCTTCTTTTTCTTTTTAAGAGGCAGGTTCTTGCTCTGTCATCCAGGCTGTAGTGCAGTGGCAGGACTGTAGCTCATTGCAGCTTCAAACTCCTGGGCTCTAGGGATCTGCCTGCCTTGGTCTCCCAAGGTGCTGGGATTACAGACATGAGCCACCATACTCTGCCAATTTCCTCTTTTAGGAATCAGGCTTTTATGGTGGTGTATTTAAGAAATCTTTACCTAATCTGAAGTCACAAAGATTTGTCCTGTATTTATACCTAGAAGTTTTATAGTTTTGTTTTACATTTAATTCTATGAAGACTTTCAATTAATTTTTTAATACAGTACAAGGTGTGCACTGAAAACCTTTTTTATTTGGGTACTATATATGGCTATCCAATTGTTCCAGCACCATCTGTGGAAAAGACTATCTTTTTTCCACTTAACTGACTTTGCATTTTTCTCAAAAATCAATTTACCATATATATATGATAAATATATATATTATTGTTTATTATTATATATAATGCATATATATGTGTGTAATACATATATATGTGTATATATATATATACACACACACATATATATGATGAGTCTCTTTCTAGACTCTAATTATGATCCATTGATCTATTTGTCAATAGTGATGCCAGCACCCCACTGTCTTGATTATTATTGCTTGGTATTAGTTCTTGAAATCAGATAGAGTAACACCTCTACCCTTCTTTTTCAATGCAGTTTTGGCTCTTCTAATTCCTTTGCATTCCCAATTTTTAGAATAAAGTTGTCCTTTTTTCTTCTTTTGTTTAAAGGCCTGCTGGGAGGATGCATGGGATTGAACCAACTCTACATATCAATTTGAGGAGAACTGACATCTTAACATTACTAAGTTTTAGCCTGGTATATCTTTTTCCACCATTTTTACCTGCTAATGTCTTTATATACTTAAAGTGTACTTTTTTAAGTAAGCAGCATGTAGTTGGATCTTGCTTTATTATACAATCTGAAAAACTGTGCTTTATAATTGGAATTTTTAGACCAACATACACTTACCGTAATTATTAATCTACCACATTGCAATTTACTTTTCTGCCTTCTCTTAGATTGGATTTTTTTTTTTTTTGAGACAGAATCTTGCTCTGTCGCCCACACTGGAGTGCAGCGGCACAATCTCGGCTCACTGCAACTTCTGCCTCCTGGGTTCAAGTGATTCTCTGCCTCAGCCTCCTGAGTAGCTGGGACTACAGGTGCCCGACACCATGCCCAGCTACATTTTTTTTTTTTTTATTTTTTAGTAGAGATGGGGTTTCACCATGTTGGCCAGACTGGTCTCAAACTCCCGACCTCAGGCGATCCGCCAGCCTCGGCCTCCCAAAGTGCTGGGATTACAGGCGTAAGCCACCGTGCCTGGCCTAGATTGGGTATTTTATAATGCTATTTTATATTCCTTGTTGGCTTATTGGCTTTAACTCTTCATTATACCATTTCTTCTATACTACCAAAAACTTACAATACTCCTTTCATTTCTCCCCTCCAAGCTTCCTTAGTATTAATGTCATTGTTGTCATATATTGCAATAAACTCCACAAAACATTGTTGTTGTTGATGCTTTAAGAAGTTATCTTATAAAGAGACATATTTATCCATGTGGTTAGCATTTCCTTCACTCTCTATTCTCTTATGTCAACCCAGGTTTTCATCTGGTGTCATTTTCCCTAATGCTAAAAGGGCACCCTGTGACATTTCTTGTGGTACAGATTATTTGGTGATGAGTTATTTCAGTTTTTGTATGTCTTTTTAAAAATATTCATTTGGCCTACATTTTTGAAAGAAATTATCTCAAGGTATAGAATTCAAATTTTATAAAACTTTTCTTTTGGTATTTTAATGATGTTACTTTACTGTCTGTGGTTTGCATTGTTTCCAATGAAAAATCTGCTTTCATACCTATTTGCATTCCTCTATGCATAATAATGAGTATATATTTTTCTCTGTTTTTAAGACTTTCCTTTCCATAACTGGTTTTAAAAAGCATTTTGATTATGATGTGACTTGATGTAATTTCATTCATCTTTTTATTTTTATTTTTTTGAGATGCAGTCTTGCTCTGTCGGCTAGGCTGAAGTGCAATGGCACTATCTCAGCTCACCACAACCTCAGCCTCCTGGGTTCAAGCAATTCTCCTGCCTCAGCCTTCCAAGTAGCTAGGATTACAGGCGCATGGCACCATGCCCGGCTAATTTTTTTATATTTTGTAGAGACGGGGTTTTACCATGTTGGCCTGACCTCAAGTGATCTACCCATCTCAGCCTCCCAAACGGCTGGGATTACAGACGTAAGCCATCGTACCCAGCCTCATTCATCTTTTTTTGTGTGTTTGGGGTTCACTGAGCTTCTTGGGTCTGTTGGTTTATAGTTTTTATCAAATTTGGAAAATTTTCAGTCATTATTCATTATTCTCTTTTTCTGCTGCTTCCTTTCCTTTCCTTTGGCAACTCCATGTATATTGTATGGTTGGCTACCTAAAGTTGTACCACAACTCACAAATGCTCTTCTAAGCCTTCTTTTTCTCTCTAGTTTCATTTTGGATAGTTCTTTTGCTATGTCTTCGAGCTCACTAATCCATTTTCTACAATGTATCATATCCCCTAATCTCATCCAGTGTATTTTTCATTTCAGCTGTATAGCCTTCGTGTCTAGAATTTTGTGTGTTTTTTAAAATAGTTTCCATGTCTCTACTTAATATGTTCACTCTTTCTGGTATAGCTCTCTGATCAGGTGCAATACAGTTATAATAACTCTATTAATAATGTCCTTGTCTACTAAATCTATCACTGTGTCAATTCTGGGTCAGTTTCACCTGATTTTTCTCTTTAACATACGGTGTATTTTCTTGCTTTCTCTTTAATATATGTTATATTTTCTTGCCTTTGGTCATTTTTGATAGGATGTCAGACATTTTTTTTGTGTGTCAGTGCCAGATATTTTTGTATTCCTATAAGTAGACTTGGAATTTTGTTCTAGGACACAGTTAAAGTACTTGGAAAGTAGTTTGATCCCTTCGCATCCTGCTTTGTTAGGCAGGACCACAACAGCTTTACATCTGTAATTTCCCCCCACTATTAAGGGAAGATGGTTTTTATACTCTATTTAAATACCATGAAGGTTGTTGAGAACAGGAACTGTGTGTGAGTACCAGTTATTGTTCCCACTAATCATTTTAGGTGGCTATTTCCCAAGCTTCAGTTTCCTCTTATGCATGTACTGATTAGTAGTCTGCTAAATACTCAAGGGGCACCCTGTGAGGATCTCCTGCAGCTCACTCCTCTCAGGTAACTTGTTCTGTGAATCCCAGATGCTTTGGCCTTCCTGGTCTCACAGCTCCATCTTCTCAACTCAAGGAGACCACTAGGCTCTGCCTGGGTTTCTCCTCTTTGTAGCATGATCTAGAATCTTTCTCTAGGCAGTAAGTTGAGGCAATCATAGGAATCACCTCATTTTTTTCCCCATCTCTCAGGAATCATCATACTTCATATTTGATGTTCACTGTCTCGAGAGCTGTTTTTTCAAATATTTTGTCCGCGTTTTTAGTTGTTTCAAGGAGAGTAAATCTGATTCTTGTTATTCCATCGTGACTGGAAGCTGCAGTCTATTATTTCTTTTAATACTAACAAGAATCTTGTGAAGGAAAATAACTTGCTGAAAGTCATATAGCCATGCATGTTAATAATAATTTATTATCTCTATGCATTAGTCTGTTTTCATGCAGCTGATAAGGACAAACCTGAAACTGGGAACAGAAAGAGGTTTAATTGGATTTATGGTTCCACATGGCTGGGGAGGCCTCAGAATCATGGCAGGAAGTGAAAGGCACTTCTTACATGGTGGTGGCAAGAGAAAAATGAGGAGGAAGCAAAAGCAGAAACCCCTGATAAACTCATCAGATCTCGTGAGACTTATTCACTATCACGAGAATAGCACGGGAAAGACTGGCCCCCATGATTCAATTACCTCCGCCAGGCTCTCTCCAACAACATGTGGGAATTCTGGAAGATACAATTCAAGTTGAGATTTGGTGGGGACACAGCCAAACCATATCATTCTGCCCTGGCCCTTCCAAATGTCATGTCCTCACATTTCAAAGCCAACCATGCCTTCCCAACAGTACCCCAAAGGCTTAACTCGTTTCAGCATTAACCCAAAAGTCCACAGTCCAAAGTATCATCTGAGACAAAGCAAATTCCTTCCGCCTATAAGCCTGTAAAATCGAAAGCAAGCTAGTTACTTCCCAGATACAATGTGGGTACAGGTATTGGGTAAATATAGCCATTCCAAATGGGAGACAACTGGCCAAAAGAAAGGGGTTACAGGGCCCATGCAAGTCCGAAATCCAGTGGGGCAGTCAAACTTTAAAGTTCCAAAATTATCTCCTTTGACTCCAGGTCTCAAATTCAGATTACGCTGATGCAAGAGGTGGGTTCCCATGGTCTTGGGCAGCTCCACCCCGTGACTTTGCCTGGTACAGCCTCCCTCCCGGCTGCTTTCATGGGCTAGCATTGAGTGTCTGTGGCTTTTCCAGGCACACGGTTCAAGCTGTCAATAGATCTGTGATTCTGGGGCCTGAAGGATGGTGGCCCTCTTCTCACAGATCTACTAGGCAGCACCCCACTAGGGACTCTGTGTGGGGGCTCTGACCCCATATTTCCATTCTGCACTGTCCTGGCAGAGGTTCTCCATTAGGGCCCTGCTCCTGCAGCAAACTTTTGCCTGGGCAACCAGGCGTTTCCAAACATCTCCTGAAATCTAGGCACAGGTTCCCAACCCTCAATTCATGACTTCTGTGCACCTGCAGGCTTAATAACACCTGGAAGCTTCCAGGGCTTGGGGCTTCCACCCTCTGAAGCTACAGCCCGAGCTGTACATTGGCTCTTTTCAGCCATGGCTGGAGTGGCTGGGACACAGGGCACGAAGTCCCTAGGCTGCACACAGCATAGGGACCTGGACCTGGCCCACGAAACCACTTTTTCCTGCTGGGTCTCTGGGCCTGTGATGGGAGGGGCTGCCATGAAGGTCTCTGACATGGCCTGGAGACATTTTCCCCATGGTCTTGGGGATTAACATGAGGCTCCTTACTACTTATGTAAATTTCTGCAGCCAGCTTGAATTTCTCCCCAGAGAATGTTTTTTTTTCTATTGCGTAGTCAGGCTGCAAATTTTCTGAACTTTTATGCTCTGTTTCTCTTTTAAGACTGAATGCCTTTAACAATACCCAAGTCACCTCTTGAATGCTTTGCTGCTTAGAAATTTCTTCCACCAGATACCCTAAATCATCCACAAATCTCTAGGGTGGGGGCAAAATGCCACCAGTCTCTCTGCTAAAACATAACAAGAGTCACCTTTGCTCCAGTTCCCAACAAGTTCCTCATCTCCATCTGTGACCACCTCAGCCTGGATTGTATTGTCCGTATCGCTATCAGCATTTTGGGCAAAGCCATTCAACAAGTCTCTAGGGAGTTCCAAACTTTCCCACATTTTCCTCCACAGGAGGTACTGTTCCAGCCTCTGCCTGTTACCCAGTTCCAAAGTCGTTTCCACATTTTCAGGTATCTTTTCAGCAACACCCCATTCTATTGGTACCAATTTACTGTATTAGTCCGTTTTCAAACTGCTAATAAAGACATACCCGACACTGGGAACAGAAAGAGGTTTAATTGGTCTTACAGTTCCACATGGCTGGGGAGGCCTCAAAATCATGGTGGGAGGCAAAAGGCACTTCTTTTTTTTGTCTTTCTTTTCTTTTTCTTTTTTTGAGACGGACTCTTGCTCTGTCGCCCAGGCTGGAGTGCAGTGGTGTGATCTCAGCTCACTGCAACCTCCGCCTCCCGGGTTCAAGCGATTCTCCTGCCTCAGCCTCCTGAGTAGCTAGGACTACAGGTGCATGCCATCATGCCCAGCTAATTTTTGTATTTTTAGTAGAGCCAGGGTTTCACCATATTGGGCAGGCTGGTCTTGAACTCCTGACCTTGTGATTCACCCACCTCGGCCTCCCAAAGTGCTGGGATTACAGGTGTAAGCCACCATGCCTGGCCAGGGAGCGGCAAGAGAAAAATGAGGAGGAAGCAAAAGCAGAAACCCCTGATAAAGTCATCAGATCTCGTGAGACTTATTCACTATCACGAGAATAGCACAGGAAAGACCAGCCCCCATGATTCAATTACCTCCCCCTGGATCCCTCCCACAACACATGGGAATTATGGGAGATACAATTCAAGTTGAGATTTAGTGGGGACACAGCCAAAGCATATCACTCTACATATAAATCTATATGTTGCCTTTGTCTCCATAACTTCCTGTTCCTAACTAATGAGTGTTCTTTCAAAGCTCAGCTCAAGTAACATCACTTTCAGAAAATCTCATCAGTTTTAGCTTATTTTCTCCCTAACTCTCTTCCTGATGATTACAATTTCCTGCTCTGTCTTCCTGTAATGCCCTGGGGAAACATGTATCAGCACACTTATCATTTTCAGTTTAATTAATTGTTCTGTTGTCTGTCTTTTCTACCAGGCTATCAGCTTTTTGAAAGCAACCATTGTCTTATATCTCTGTATCATTAGCACCTAGGAGAGTGCCTGAAATACAGTTGGTGATCAGTAAGTATATATTTGAGATAAACTTCCTTGTAAACTTTAAAATCCTCCTTAGTGTCATACATAATTTACTTTTGAATTATCAATTTCACTGAAATCTATCTCTTAGGAAGGATTCATCCAACTCAAAGAGCTGGATGTTTAAGGGAATGATAATGGTGTAAGAGAAATTACAACACATGGTAATAATAAACCACGTAATCTACATTATAAATAATAATTAACCAAACTATTTGGTAATACAATGGCAATTCTTAAAGTGATCTTATGAGCTCCAAATGCACATAAGTGATAACTTCTATGTGCCATATCTTTCCCAGACAACATGACAGACATTCCTGAAATAGAACATTAGCTGCCTGAAAAATATTAGTATCATTTTTTTTTTTTTTTTTTTTTTTTTTGAGACGGAGTCTCGCTCTGTCGCCCAGGCCGGACTGCGGACTGCAGTGGCGCAATCTCTGCTCACTGCAAGCTCCGCTTCCCGGGTTCACGCCATTCTCCTGCCTCAGCCTCCAGAATAGCTGGGACTACAGGCGCCCGCCACCGCGCCCGGCTAATTTTTTGTATTTTTAGTAGAGACGGGGTTTCACCTTGTTAGCCAGGATGGTCTCAATCTCCTGACCTCATGATCCATCCTCCTCGGCCTCCCAAAGTGCTGGGATTACAGGCGTGAGCCACCGCGCCCGGCCCTAGTATCATTTTTGAAAAAATATAATATCTATTATTTATCATATGCTTATAATGTTCGAGATCCCATGCTAAACATTTTACATACCTCATTTAACAAAATTCTCACAACATTCCTAACAAGGCAGGCATTCTTAATGCTTTTAGAGAAGAATAAGTTACCTTAAATGGCAAAGCTGACAAGGTGGCAGAGCTTGAATTTTAATTCAGCTCACAACATCTAAGCCTTAACAATACTACACTGCTTACAACAGCTTGAGATCCATTTGCTCATTAACTTTCATAGGGAAAAAAGATAAATCTAATCATTTTTAATTGCCAGAAAAGACTATGCAGAGTTAAAACTAAATTTCCTTTAGTCTTTGGATGCTACCATTAATGGCCTTAAAGGTTGTGAGCACCATCTAAAAAGCTAATTTTAATCATGCTTTCTCAGATGCACAACTTTAAAAAACTACTAAACATATTTGCAGTGTAGGTACTGTGCAGTTTCCTTTAAATGTAATCTCACTATGACAGAGACACATATCAACAGCTTATCATATTTCTAGCTACATTTCATTTTAACAGTTACTATAATTCTATCTCTTAGGATCAAGGTCTAAGCTAGAGATATTACAAATAGCTCAAAAGTAGATTTATCTTGCCTCTAGAACTTAGTACCAAGTTGGTTTAAATAAAAACCAAAAGAAGAAAAGAAAAAAACCCAAGAACATGTTTTCCATTCTTGATAGCAAATTCATCTGAAGAGTTTTATCAAACATTTTCTCTAAACAGTTTAAGGGGTTTGCAAAAAAAAAAAGCAAAGTTATATAATAGCTGTCTTTATTAAAAACCAGAGAAAGATGCCATTTTATATACATATTTCATAGATGAGGATGTTAAACTATAAAGGTGAAACTGAAGCAAAGGTTACAACATCCTTGAGGACTTGCTTGAGAGCCCATATTCATGATCCAATACTATTACCTCCTCAGTGATGCTGCTTGTATACTATACAAATACATAGCCATACAAAAGCCTCAGCATCTAATGAATTAAGAGCTGACTTAAAAATGTAGAATAATAATTCAATCTACCACAGATTTTGTACAGATTAAATGTAATCCTTCTCCATGTAATCATCATAAAATGAAAACTCAGTAAAGCGTTAGCTATTAAATTATTTCAGATTTTTGGAGAGAAGTGGTTCATGAGGGTATAAGGAAGGTAAGATTTTACATCGAGGCTACCTGTTTAGCTAGGAGAATCGATAGCATAGCTACTAAGTAAGGTGCAGCCAGGATGAGATAGGTTTTAGAACACAGGAAGGACTTAACATAATGGAGGTATCTTGTTTAGGTCAAAATTGACCCCCATGGACAGATTCAGTGCTAACAATATGTTAGGAATATAGAAAGGGAAGAAAGGGAAACTAATAATTATTCTAACCACCTCTCCAGCAATGCCTATTCTGGACAGTTTGTACCCACTATGATCATAGATTTGCAGGAACTCATCATCATTTCCCTATTATGTATGTAAAGAGATGGAAGCTCAGCATTAAGAAGCAAGGGCCATGCGCCCACACAGCATTTCAGAGCAGCTCTCGGATTGGCAGTTCTCCCTGTCCTGTTACTTAGTCTGAGACTCTCTTACCCCATGCTTTGTACAAAGATTAAAATGCTGATGTGGGACTGGGGACAGAAAAAACGGATCACATGAGACTGATTTTAGTTGGAAGTGCAGATGATGAATGTCTTCATGATAGCAAGGACTTCTGCAGCCCCACTCAGAAGGAGGTGGAATGAGGATGTGGAATGAGGATGTGGAATGTCTTCGCTCTCCGCGTGGGAAGCGGGACACTCCTACAACTTCCTGCAGGTCTTTCTCACATGGCAGAGGACCTGTTCTTCATAAGAGCAGCATTGGTGAGGCCAGGGAGACTGTTTAGACACAGGATCATAAATGTGGTTCTTCTTACCCTACTTTGTCTTGGGTCCTATCCATGCCAGTTAACTCAGGCACAGACGGGAAATCTCCCACCTCTTATCACGGCTATGCCGGGCTCCCTGATTTCATCTAACAAGTCTGTAAGCATCCTGGTCAAGGGCCATCAGAAACTGAAACACATAGGATATGTAACGTGGAAAGTCCTGAGCCCTCCAACAGAAATAAATGAGTGTGGGAAGACGAACATAAGGAATATCACAGAGATGCTGCCAAACAGGTCAGGGCTGTACCACTGTTACTACTGAAGCAGAGACCACTAGTCTGAGTGAACCTCTGAAGCTGGTAATGACCACAGCTTATGACAAACCCTTTCTCTCAATCATGCCAGGCACTGAGGTGGCATCACGAGAGAATATGAAGTTGCAATGTTTCTCAAAATTTGAACTTGGTTTATTTATTCTCACCAAATAAGATGGATTTCACACCACCAAGAACCAAAGGCAATGAACATCCCAGGGTAATGAACACAAGGCTGTCTTCCTCATGAACCGTGTCACCTCCACATGGGCAGGGACCTACAGATGCTTCAGTGTCATCAGCAATGACCCCAATGTGTGGTCTCACCCCAGTGACCCTCTGGAGCTGGGGGTCAAAGAATTTCCTGGCAATCCCACAAAGCCCAGCTATTCAATTGCCCTACCTCACAACCAAAGCCTCCCAGAGGAACCCCAGAACATTATGATTGGCATCCCCACCTCACCCTCATCTTTATCCTCCACCACTGCAAAACCAAAAACAATGCTGCCAAGAAAGAAAGGCAGCCAGGGGCCGGACCAATGAATGGAGAGGCCTCTGAAGCGTAGGACCATAGGATGTTACCTGTTCCCAGCTGACTTGCAGTGCCCTTACCCAGAGGACAACCGCAGCATCTTCCTCATTGCCTAGGCAGGCATAGACAAGTGAGTAGGCAAAATGTGCCCAAAGATAAGTGATGTGTCAGTGCAGAGCATATCATTTGGGCAGTAGAGCTTACAGTTGCGGATTAAATGAGTCCTCCTCTGGAATTACTGCTTCTAAATCTCTGGCAGTCAGCCTGACTGAGAGGATGCTACTGTGCACTTAATCTAGAGGCCTCAAGAATAAAGTTTCAGAATCTCTACTATCATTGCCCAATAACTCCCAAGACCCTTCCAAAGGTATCAAAAGAACAATATGGCAATTTTTCATAGATTCTAACTGTTCATCAATTAAACAAATTACTTTGGAAAAAAAACAAAACACCAAATACACAGCTGTATTTATTATTTACAAATTACCTATGGCTCCAAGTGGCAGAATTGAGTAGTTGCAATAGAGACTACAGGGCCCATAAATCCTAAATCTGGCCATTTATAAAAAACAGGCTGACCCATGATCTAGACTACTATTGACTCCAAATCTAGACTTTTGCAGCTATATCCTTTCTACTTATCCTTTCCATTGCATATACAGCTGCTAAAGTTATCTTCACAAAGCAAGGCTCCAATTTAGTTTGTACCTTAAAAAATACCTCAATGACCCTCCGCTGCTTCCAGAATTAAGCATAAACTTATCACTTTAATTTTCAATGCTATCAATAATATCCCAAGCTTATTCTTTCACTGTCATTTTTTAACCATTTTCATACTCATAGCCAACTTTTCAGCAATACATGGTCTTTCACTACTTCTCAACTAGGCCCTGCATTTTCCTCCCTCTGCTTTCACTCATGCCAAACCCTCTACTTGGAATTTCCTTTGTGTCCGGTCATTCTTAGTTATAAAAATGCTGAAATTCCACCATCTTTCTCTACCTCCACCTTGGTTGGTTGGATACAGTATGGTCTGCTTCACAATCTACAGAATATTCAAAATCTTTATTAAAAATGCTACAGACTGCCACCTCTCTATTCTTGCAAAATGAGTACCCTCTTCATTTCTTAGTTTCCTTTATTCCTAGTCCTAGCTTTGGAGCCTCAATACTGAAACCAACTTTTAACAGAAGTTAAGGCTTAGATTTGGAAAGGAAACAGCATTATGTGAAAGTTAAGTAGATGAAATAGAAAATTCTCTCCACTCTGTGGAGCCAAGGTAGGCAAAGAGATAGGAAAAAAACTTTGGCTATTTTAATGCAAGTTTAGAAACAAACAGGAAATGGAAGAAACAACAGACCAAATCACAATGTATTTGTAATGGCTACACATTATGCCACTAAGCAGAAATGTTTAAAATTCCCCTTTGAGTGGCTGGGTGCAGTGGCTCATGATTGTAATCCCAGCACTTTGTGGGGGCTGAGGTGGGCAGATCACGAGGTCAGGAGATCGAGACCATCCTGGACAACATGGTGAAACCCTGTCTCTACTAAAACACAACACATACACACACACACACACACACACACACACACACACACAAATTAGCTGGGTGTGGTGTCATGTGCCTATAATCCCAGCTACTTGGGAAGCTGAGGCAGGAGAATCCCTTGAACCAGGGAGTCGGAGGTTGCAGTGAGCTGAGATCGCACCACTGCACTCCAGCCTGGCGACACAGTGACTCCATCTTAAAAAAAAAAAAAAAATTCTCCTGTTAGAAATTGAGACCTTTTTAAAATAGCTAAACCAAGAGATTCTCCCATAAAAGCAAGAAATTACAGCTTTTAATATGTATCAGTTACTTATGACATTAGACCTCTATAAAATTTTAAAATAATTTCACACAAAACTAGTTATTTTTACTAATACTTTTAGACATGACACAGAGGTTAAAATAAAATTAGACTCAATAACAGTTGTTTATACTTTAAAAGGTAAAGTTCAAATAATTTCAAAGGTTCCTAAATTTTTTCTAAAATGAAAAGGTATGTGGTGGCATAATAAAAATAAACTTTATATAGTTTTAAACCCTGCTTTAGTATCTTCTTTTATTTAGCATCTTTATAGCCTTCTTTTTTTGCTGCCATAATTTTAAGTATCAGCACATTTTTTAGTCCATAAACATTAACATTTCAGGATGTTCTAGAAAACACGTTATTTTAAACAATTATATAAATGTCTTTCCTGACCCTTTTAGGATTCAGTTTAAAATAATACTTCCCACTTTTTAAATCCTTCTGTAGTGTTGCAATGGTTATTTGTAAGACACCCATTCTCTGTGCTACTTTTCTTTCAACTTCTACTTTTCTTTCAACTTCTTTATTTTGTCTCCCTTTGTATGACTGCTGGAAAGGGAATGGTGTTCTCCTGCAGCACCAATTACCTGGAACAGTCTACCTATTTCTCTCTTTGCTTTAGAGACTTCACATAGATTTTTAATTCCCTTGACAAAACCTTCTGTGTTTTTATTCCAAGTTATAATTTCTATCTTTGAATGCAGTTACTTTACTTTGCCTCTGATAGAGCTTTCAAATTTACTTTTTTGAAGCTTTGTCCTCACTCAATGAAAAGTGCTGAAAGTACTAGAATGCTTTTTACAATATGTTTTGTCCTAAAAAATATATTAAATATCGAGCTGTCTGAACCAATGTGTTCAAAATACACACTAATACAGATTAACCAACTAAAAAAGATCAAACACATACTTTATTTCATGCTACTATAAATGTGTTACAAAAAATAATTTTATTTAAATACTGTACTGAGAGATTTTTCTAGATGGAATATTTGCATAGAGGGCATGTTTCATAGTAATCACTAGTTTTATATGGTAGGAAAAAAGGCAAAACACAAAAGATTAATTGGATGTCAGAAGAACTGCATTCTAGAATTGACTGAGGGCTTTGGTTTCCTTACCTATGCAAGTCTGCTCATCACAATGTTTCTAAAAACAAAAAAGCGTTTGGGAGGCCAAGGTGGGCAGATCATGAGGTCAGGAAATCGAGACCATCCTGGCTACCATGGTGAAACCCTGTCTCTACTAAAAATACAAAAAATTAGCTGGGCATGGTGGCAGACACCTGTAGTCCCAGCTACTTGGGAGGCTGAGGCAGGCGAATGGCGTGAACCCGGGAGGCGGAGCTTGCAGTGAGCCAAGATAGCGCCACTGCAGTCCGGCCTGGGCGAAAGAGCGAGACTCTGTCTCAAAAAAAAAAAAAAACAAAAAACAGAAAAGCATCCCTAAGAGAAAAATGATTAAATAAATTATGGTCCAAATCCATGATGGAAGTAGCATAACAGTCAATTTTTCAAATGTAAAGACATTTAGTAACATGCAGAAATGCTAACATTACATTTTTTAAAAACTACAAAACTATGTAAAATGATCCAGATTTGGAAAAAAAAATTCAAAATAATATGCTATCATAGAAAAATACATAGCAAAATGGTAATAATTTTTCTTTTTCTTTTTTATCCTTAATCCTATCTGTTTTCTAAGTAAAATTTGACTGGATGGATCAGGGAAAAATGGATATTATGACAAAAGGAAAAAATCTTTAAAAGATAAGGAAAATAGTAAATTAAAAATTTTGAAGTTTATAATTAAGTACAAAGTATGTTTATATCACACGTTTTCATAAAAACAGTCTCCCTATTTAAGAAATGTTTAAGTTTTGCAAGAAATATTTAAGTTTTGCCTGTAATCTAACTTTTGACACCTACTCCTGCTCCTACCATGAGGTTACGGATTTATTTTAAGAGGTGAAACTTATAATGAATAAACATACCAGTTTTTTGCCCCAGGAGACCTAGAATCAATAACTGGCTCAAGTAATAAGTGAAAATGATATAGATGATCAAACACGGATGTTTTAGTCAACATTAGTATAATCACAAAACCACTTCACAATTCATCATAACTAATGATCTCTACTTCAGGAAAGTCCAAAACTATGGGTGTTGTTAGTTATGATTAAAAAGTATTGGCAGAAACTTGATTGCTAATTTATGATGGTATATTTCTTTTAAAATTCTAATGTAGAGCCAAAGTAAGATAAATATATATAATGAATACATTATTCCTTGGGCTTTCATTCTAAAACAATCAGAGATCCCTCTCTCTTTCTTGCTAGTCTCTTTGTGACTCCTCTTTTCTGACCTAAAAAATGACATAAATTAAGTTCTACTTTTATTTATGAAATTTGCTACATTAATAACAATATATAATCAAAAGTACTGCTTTGTATACTTTAAAAGATATATATTATGAAAGAGCAACTAAATAATATATTAGTATGGTAGTGTAGGAATGATAATCCAACTCTTTACCACATGATTAACACCCACTTATACTTAAAAAAAAAAAAAGACCACTATACCAAAATGAAAAAAAATATGTAATCTTATTCAGGTTTTTTGCATATATTTTGTTTTTTATTTGTTAGGCCATGAGGAAAAAAATATTCCAATAAGGAAAATGAATACACTTCAAAAAAACTTCAAGATTAAACTATATGAAATACTGATACTTAATCATTTGTTAACTATAAAAGTGGCAAGTTCATTTGGTTCAAACTAACAGAATAAGAATTCACATGGGAGAAGGGCTGAATTTTTAGGCTTAGAAGTAACAGAAGAAATCATAAAGAAAAAAACCCAACAGATTTGACTACATAAAAATATTCAATTTTATATAAAAAGTATCCAGCAACACAGAACTAAAATAAAATGGCAAAACAGTGACAATAAATTTATTAGAAACAAATTTAACCAAGTTAATAGCTTCATTCAAAAAAAGTTCTTGTAAGTTTATAACAAAATCACTAATTCTTAAAAGAGAACAAAAAAGCATAAGAAACTCACACGCACAAAAGACTACTAGTCAAGCTCTCTCCTCAAATTTCTCTTGTAGAATTCACTATGCCATTATTAAAATATGTAAATGTGAAAAATATAAATGACAGCTAATTCTAGCCAATGATGTTGATATGGTTTGGCTGTGTGTGTTCCCCTCACCCTCTGAGCCCAACACCAAATCTCAAATTGTAGCTCTCATAATTCCCAAGTGTTGTGGGAGGGACCCAGTGGGAGGTAACTGAATCATGGGAGCAGGGCTTGTGATAATGATTAAGTCTCAAGAAATCTAATTGGTTTTACAAAGGGGAATTCCCCTGCACATGCTCTCTGTATCGTCTGCTGCCATGTGAGACATGACTTTGCTCCTACTTTGTCTTGTGCTATGATTGTGAGGCCTCCCCAGCCACATGGAGCTGTGAGTCCATTAAACCTTTTTTTTTTTTTTTAATAAGTTACCCAGTCTCAGGTAGGTCTTTATTAGCAGCATGAGAACAGACTAATACAGATGTAAAACTCTCATGCCTCATTAGCGGTATTATAAATTGATATAATATTTATAGAAAGCAATTTAAAATTATGTGAATGGAGCCCTTCAAGTACTCATACTCCTTGAGAAAATGTTTCCAATTTGGGGACCTAGAGAAAATATTTAAAACATGGAAAAGCTAAGAACATTCAGATATTCAGAAAATTCCTTAGAAGAGCAAAGATCAAAAAATAACCTAAATATCCAACAATAAAGAACTAGTTAGGTCACTCTACTTAATGAGATATAGTGTACCTATTGAAAACAATGACAATGTTAACACGAAAAGGTGTCCAAAATTGCCTACCATCCAGAAAATGGTAGGGTACTATATATTAAGAACATTTAAAATACTCATACCCTTTGACATAGGATTTTCATTTTAAGAATCTAGCCTAATGCAATTATTTAAGATACGTACAAAAATCTGTTCATAGAACATTAGCAAGATGGCTGAATAGGAACAGCTCCAGTCTACAGCTCCCAGAGTGAGCGACGCAGAAGACGGGTGATTTCTGCATTTCCAACTGAGGAAATCTCACTGGGGCTCGTCAGACAGTGGGGGCAGGACAGTGGGTGCAGTCCACCTAGTGTGAGCTGAAGCAGGGCGAGGCATCGCCTCATCCAGGAAGTGCAAGGGGTCAGGGAATTCCCTTTACTAGCCAAGGGAAGGGGTGACAGATGGCACCTGGAAAATCGGGTCACTCCCACCCTAATACTGCACTTTTCCAAGGGTCTTAGCAAACGGCACACCAGGAGATAATATCCTGCGCCTGGCTCGGAGGGTCCAACGCCCACGGAGCCTCGCTCATTGCTAGCACAACACTCTGAGATCGAACTGCAAGGCGGCAGCGAGGCTGGTGGAGGGGTGCCCACCGCTGCTGAGGCTTGAGTAGGTGAACAAAGCAGCCCAGAAGCTCGAACTGGGTGGAGCCCACCTCAGCTCAAGGAGGCCTGCCTGCCTCTGTAGACTCCACCTCTGGGGGCAGGGCATAGACAAACAAAAGGCAGCAGAAATCTCTGCAGAGTTAAACGTCCCTGTCTGACAGCTTTGAAGAGAGTAGTGGTTCTCTCAGCACGGAGTTTGAGATCTGAGAATGTTCAGACTGTCTCAAGTGGGTCCCTGATCCCCGAGTAGCCTAACTGGGAGGCACCCCCCAGTAGGGGCACACTGACAGCTCACACAGCCGGGTACCCCTCTGAGATGAAGCTTCCAGAGGAACGATCAAGCAGCAACATTTGCTGTTCAGCAATATTCGCTGTTCTGCAGCCTCTGCTGCTGATACCCAGGCAAACAGGGGCTGGAGTGGACCTCCAGCAAACGCCAACAGACGTGCAGCTGAGGGTCCTGACTGTTAGAAGAAAAACTAACAAACAGAAAGGACATCCACACCAAGACCCCAACTGTATGTCACCATCATGAAAAACCAAAGGTAGATAAAACCACAAAGATGGAGAAAAAACAGAGCAGAAAAGCAGAAAATTCTAAAAATCAGAGCACCTCTCCCCCTCCAAAGGAACGTAGCTCCTCGCAAGTAATGGAACAAAGCTGGATGCAGAATGACTTTGACGAGTTGAGAGAAGAAAGTTTCAGACGATCAAACTTCTCAGAGCTAAAGGAGGAAGTTCGATCCCAATGCAAAGAAGATAAAAACCATGAAAAAAGATTAGATGAATGGCTAACCAGAATAACCAGAGTAGAGAAGTCCTTAAATGACCTGATGGAGCTGAAAACCATGGCACAAGAACTATGTGACAAATGCACAACCTTCAGTAGCTGATTTGATCAACTGGAAGAAAGGGTATCAGGGATGGAAAATCAAATGAATGAAATGAAGTGAGAAGAGAAGCTTAGAGAAAAAAGAGCAAAAAGAAATGAACAAAGCCTCCAAGAAATATGGGACTATGTGAAAAGACAAAATCTACGTCTGATTGGTGTACCTGAAAGTGATGGGGAGAATGGAACCAAGCTGGAAAACACTCTTCAGGATATTATCCAGGAGAACTTTCCCACCCTAGCAAGGCAGGCCAACATTCAAATTCAGGAAATACAGAGAGCGCCACAAAGATACTCCTCGAGAAGAGCATACTCCTCCAAGGTGCATAATTGTCAGATTCACCAAAGTTGAAATGAAGGAAAAAATGTTAAGGGCAGCCAGAGAGAAAGGTTGGGTTACCCACAAAGGGAAGCCCATCAGACTAACAGCTGATCTCTCGGCAGAAACTCTACAAGCCAGAAGAGAGTGGGGGCCAATATACAACATTCTTAAGAAAAGAATTTTCAACCCAGGATTTCATATCCAGCCAAAATAAGCTTCATAAGTGAAGGAGAAATACAATCCTCTACAGACAAGCAAATGCTGAGAGATTTTTGTCACCACCAGGCCTGCCCTACAAGAGCTCCTGAAGGAAGCACTAAACATGGAAAGAAACTACCGGTACCAGCCACTGCAAAAACATGCCAAATTGTAAAGACCATCGATGCTAGGAAGAAACTGCATCAACTAATCAGCAAAATAAGCAGCTAACATCATAATGACAGGATCAAATTCACACATAACAATATTAACCTTAAATATAAATGGGCTAAATGCTCCAATTAAAAGACACAGACTGGCAAATTGGATAAAGAGTCAAGACCCATCAGTGTGCTGTATTCAGGAAACCCATCTCATGTGCAGAGACACACATAGGCTCAAAATAAAGGGATGAAGGAAGATCTACCAAGCAAATGGAAAACAAAAAAAGGCAGGGGTTGCAATCCTAGTCTCTGATAAAACAGACTTTAAACCAAAAAACATCAAACGAGACAAAGAAGGCCATTACATAATGGTAAAGGGATCAATTCAACAAGAAGAGCTAACTATCCTAAATATGTATGCACCCAATACAGGAGCACCCACATTCATAAAGCAAGTCCTTAGAGACCTACAAAGAGACTTAGACTCCCACACAATAATAATGGGAGACTTTAACACCCCACTGTCAACATTAGACAGATCAACAAGACAGAAAGTTAACAAGGATATCCAGGAATTGAACTCAGCTCTTCACCAAGCAGACCTAATAGACATCTACAGAACTCTCCACCCCAAATCAACAGAATATACATTCTTTTCAGCACCACACCACACCTATTCCAAAATTGACCACATAGTTGGAAGTAAAGCACTCCTCAGCAAATGTAAAAGAACAGAAATTATAACAAACTGTCTCTCAGACCACAGTGCAATCAAACTAGAACTCAGGATTAAGAAACTCACTCAAAACTGCTCAACTACATGGAAACTGAACAACCTGCTCCTGAATGACTACTCGATACATAATGAAATGAAGGCAGAAATAAAGATGTTCTTTGAAACCAATGAGAACAAAGACACAACATACCAGAATCTCTGGGATGCATTCAAAGCAGTGTGTAGAGGGGAATTTATAGCACTAAATGCCCACAAGAGACAGCAGGAAAGATCTAAAATTGACACCCTAACATCACAATTAAAAGAACTAGAGAAGCAAGAGCAAACATTCAAAACCTAGCAGAAAGCAAGAAATAACCAAGATCAGAGAAGAACTGAAGGAGATAGAGACACAAAAAACCCTTCAAAAAATCAATGAATCCAGGAGCTGGTTTTTTGAAACGATCAACAAAATTGATAGACCGCTAGCAAGACTAATAAAGAAGAGAGAAGAATCAAATAGAGGCAATAAAAAATGATATATCCCATTACTGGGTATATACCACCGATCCCACAGAAATACAAACTACCATCAGAGAATACTATAAACACCTCTATGCAAATAAACTAGAAAATCTAGAACAAATGGATAAATTTCTGGACACATACACCCTCCCAAGACTAAACCAGTAAGAACTTGAATCCCTGAATAGACCAATAACAGGCTCTGAAATTGAGGCAATAATTAATAGCCTACCAACCAAAAAAAGTATAGGACCAGAGGGATTCACAGCCGAATTGTACCAGAGGTACAAGGAGGAGCTGGTACCATTCCTTCTGAAACTATTCCAATCAATAGAAAAAGAGGGAATCCTCCCTAACTCATTTTATGAGGCCAGCATCATCCTGATACCAAAGCCTGGCAGAGACACAACAAAAAAAGAGAATTTAAACCATTATCCCTGATGAACACTGATGCAACAATCCTCAATAAAATACTGGCAAACCAAATCCAGCAGCACATCAAAGAGCTTATCCACCATGATCTAGTTGGCTTCATCCCTACGATGCAAGGCTGGTTCAACATACACAAATCAATAAATGTAATCCAGCATATACACAGAACCAAAGACAAAAACCACATGATTATCTCAATAGATGCAGAAAAGGCCTTCAACAAAATTCAACAATGCCTCATGCTAAAAACTCTCAATAAGTCAGGTATTGATGGAACATATCTCAAAATAATAAGAGCTATTTATGACAAACCCACAGCCAATATCATACTGAATGGGCAAAAACTGGAAGCATTCCCTTTGAAAACCGGCACAAGACATGGATGTCCTCTCTCACCACTCCTATTCAACATAGTGTTGGAAGTTCTGGCCAGGGCAATCAGGCAGGAGAAAGGAATAAAGGGTATTCAGTTAGGAAAAGAGGAAGTCAAATTGTCCCTGTTTGCAGATGACATGATTGTATATCTAGAAAACCCCATCGTCTCAGCCCAAAATCTCCTTAAGCTGATAAGCAACTTCAGCAAAGTCTCAGGATACAAAATCAATGTACAAAAATCACAAGCATTCTTATACACCAATAACAGACAAACAGAGAGCCAAATCATGAGTGAACTGCTATTCACTATTGCTTCAAAGAGAATAAAATACCTAGGAATCCAACTTACAAGGGATGTGAAGGATCTCTTCAAGGAGAACTACAATCCACTGCTCAAGGAAATAAAAGAGGATACAAACAAATGGAAGAACATTCCATGCTCATGGATAGGAAGAATCAATATTGTGAAAATGGCCATACTGCCCAAGGTAATTTATAGATTCAGTGCTATCCCCATCAAGCTACCAATGACTTTCTTCACAGAATTGGAGAACACTACTTTAAAGTTCATATGGAACCAAAAAAGAGCCCGCATTGCCAAGACAATCCTAAGCCAAAAGAATAAAGCTGGAGGCATCATGCTACCTGACTTCAAACAATACTACAAGGCTACAGTAACCAAAACAGCATGGTAGTGGTACCAAAACAGAGATATAGATCAATGGAACAGAATAGAGCCCTCAGAAATAATACCATACATCTACAACCATCTGATCTTTGACAAACCTGACAAAAACAAGCAATGAGGAAAGGATTCCCTATTTAATAAATGGTTCTGGGAAAACTGGCTAGCCATATGTAGAAAGCTGAAACTGGATCACTTCCTTACACCATATACAAAAATTAATTCAAGATGGATTAAAGACTTAAATCTTAGACCTAAAACCATAAAAACCCTAGAAGAAAACCTAGGCAATACTATTCAGGACTTAGGCATGGGCAAGTACTTCATGTCTGAAACACCAAAAGCAATGGCAACAGAAGCCAAAATTGACAAATGGGATCTAATTAAACTAAAGAGCTTCTACACAGCAAAAGAAACTACCATCGAAGTGAACAGGCAACCTACAGAATGGGAGAAAATTTTTCCAATCTACTCATCTGACAAAGGGCTAATATCCAGAATCTACAAAGAACTCAAACAAAGTTACAAGAAAAAAACAACCCCATCAACAAGTGGGCAAAGGATATGAACAGACACTTCTCAAAAGAAGACATTTATGCAGCCAACAGACACATGAAACAATGCTCATCATCACTGGCCATCAGAGAAATGCAAATCAAAACCACAATGAGATACCATCTCAGGCCAGTTACAATGGCGATCATTAAAAAGTCAGGAAACAGCAGGTGCTGGAGAGGATGTGGAGAAATAGGAACACTTTTACACTGTTGATGGGACTGTAAACTACTTCAACATTGTGGAAGACAGTGTGGCGATTCCTCAAGGATCTAGAACTAGAAATACCATTTGACCTAGCCATCTCATTACTGGGTATATACCCAAAGGATTATAAATCATGCTGCTATAAAGACACATGCACACGTATGTTTATTGCGGCACTATTCACAGTAGCAAAGACTTGGAACCAACCCAAATGTCCATCAATGATAGACTGGATTAAGAAAATGTGGCACATATACACCATGGAATACTATGCAGCCATAAGAAAGGAAGAGTTCATGTCCTTTGTAGGGACATGGATGAAGCTGGAGACCATCATTCTCAGCAAACTATCTCAAGAACAAAAAACCAAACACCTCATGTTCTCACTCATAGGTGGGAATTGAACAATGAGAACACTTGGACACAGGAAGGGGAACATCACACACCGGGGCCTGTCGTGGGGTGAGGGGAGGGCAGAGGGAAAGCATTAGGAGATATAGCTAATGTAAATGACGAGTTAATGGGTGCAGCACACCAACATGGCACATGTATACATATGTAACAAACCTGCACGTTGTGCACATGTACCCTAGAACTTAAAGTATAATAAAAAAAAAATTTGCACAATGATGCTCACCATGTTGATATCTAAAAGAGCAAATGATTGAAGAATGATAGAAAGCCATATACCAGTAAGTTCCTAACAATAGAGAAATAATTGAATTTTGCTATATTGATATACTGAAGTATAATGTAGCTGTATCAAAATCTTTTCCAAAAAAATAAAATATTTTAGCAAAAATTATATGAAAATTTTTACCAAAAGAAAATATCAATACTATACTGCTAAGTGAAATGCAGGATACAAATTTAGATCATACTGTTGATTCTCTGTCTCTCTCTGTGTATATATAATGTGTACTATAGTACGGATGCACAGAATAAAGATGTGAAGGAACTGTTCTGAATGTTAGCAATGATGCATCTTATTTCCAGTAAGAGGTAACAAGAGGAGATAAGGAGACCCATTCTCTATAAAAAACAACTATACATATGGGCAAAAATGACTAAAAACAATCACTTCAGAGCATTAGGAAATAACCAAAGGCAGACAAAAACCTAAGAAATATATTCCTGAGGCAAAGTGCTATTTAATACTTTATCTAGTAAGAACAGCAAGTTTTGATCTTCTTGCTTGGGGATGTTACTTCCTGTACAGCTTGAATGGCAAAAACCTACTGCTTCAGCACCAGAGGTGGTAGACTTGGTTCAGGGTAGTGGCAGAACAAGTAGACATTTAATGGTAAGATTTTAGAAGTGAGAGAGCCATAGCAGATTAAAAACTCTTCACACACTTGTGACTTTCTTCTACTAAATTACACATGTGTGCGGAAGATCTTGAAGAACCAGATGAAGATTGGAAGTCCGGGAGAATTGTGAATTTGCTCCACCTTTGAATGTATTCCTAATTCACAAAGATCCTGCCCTGACGTATTCGACCGTGACCTCTGCCCAAATCATTTACTAACCATTAAACTACACAGACACAGAGGAAACCCCTAAGGAGCCATGCTAAAAAAGCAGACAATATCAATAAACACTCAAAATCCAAGCTGAAACATCAGCAGATAAACACTGCAGAGGTACCAAATTTCACAGTTTGAGTCTAGAAAAGATAACTGCAAAAACCCTAAAATACTCAGAAGAACAAAATTGGTAAATTAAGCCCAGAGTCACAATAACATATTACCTACAAGTTCCAATTTTCAACCAAAAATTACTAGACATTAGAAAAAAAAAGGAAGTGTGGAAATGTGATCTCACTGCTCAAGGAAGAAGGGTAGTCAATAGAAACTCCAAATTAACCCAGATGTCTGTTTTAGCAGACAAAGACTTCAAAGAAGCTATTATAAATATGATCAAAGAATTAAACAAAACAAAACTCACTAGATGAGCTCATTAACAGATCTGAGATGGCAGAAGAAAGAATTAGTGAGTATAAAAACAGATTGATAAAACAATTATCCAAAGCAGAAAACAAAGAGAAAAAAAACATTGAAGGAAAATGAACAGAGCCTTAGCTATCTGTGGGACAACATCAAATATCCTAACATACATGTAATTGAAGTCCTAGAAGGAGAAAAGAGAGAGGAAGTGAGAAGGGGCAGAAAAAAATACTTGAGGAAGTAATGGCCAAAAATATCAAATCTGGCAAAAAAGTTTAATTTACAAATAACTGAAGACCAATGAACTCCAAGAGGACAGGTGCAAAAGGACTCACACTTACATGCATTGTAGTCAAATTCCTAGTAGCCAAAGGCAAAGAGAAAATCTTAAGAGCAGCAAGGGAAAAACATCATGACACATACAAGTAAAAGATAAATGGTTGAATTCTCAACAGAAATAATGCAGACCAGATGGCAACTGGAATGGTACATTTAGTTTGCGGTGGGCTGGGGGGACAGGCAGTGGCTCACACCTGTAATCCCAGCCCTTTGGGAGGCCAAGGCAGGAGGATTGCTTGAGGCCAGGAGTTCAAGATCAGCCAGGATGATAGTAAGATCCCATCTCTACCAAAATTTAATGTGCTGGGAGGGGTGGAAGGTGGGGGATGAATATCCTTCAAGCAACAATTCTATATCCAACAAAAATAAACACGAAATAAAAACATTCACATAGAAACAAAAAATCAAGAAATCAGTTCATTGCTCGTGGACCTGCCCTAGCAAGAAATACTGAAGTAAGTACTTCAGGCCAAAAGGAAATGATACCACATGGTAACTTGGAACCACAGGAAGGCATGAAGAGCACTGTGATTAGTAAATATGTGAATACATATAAAAGACTGTGTGTGTGTGTGTGTGTGTGTGTGTGTGTGTAGGTGTTAAAAGTTTCTTCTCTTAATTTCTTTAAAAGACATATGTTTGATAAAAGCAAAAACTAATATTGCATTAAGTTTATAATATATATAAATGTGATATTCGTGATTGCAATAGTACAAAGGAGAGGAGCACAGAGGTAAACTGGTACAAAGCTCCTACATTTTATTAGAAATAAGTACATTATGATACATTAAAGATGCATAGTATAATTCCTAGAGCAACTCCTAAAAAACAAAATTTGCTACAATGTCCTTGATAACTTCTGTTAGGTTGGTGCAAAAGTAATTGCAGTTTTTGGCATTACTTTTAAAGGCAAATACCACAATTACTTTTGCACCAACTTAATACAGTCAGACTATCACTCATATATAATACATATAAATACATAGTGTGTTTAAAAAAAAAAAAAAACACAAAAATATACCAACATGGTAAAGCATATCAAAATGGTAGCATTAAAATTAACTTTTTCCTTTTTTTGTTCTTTGTAGATTGCATATGTGATTACAATGTTTTAAATAAAATATTCCAATAAAATTAAAACCACGCAAAATATACCATAACTGTTTTAGAATATACATCAAATCCATATTCTAGTTAGTTAAGAAGAGAAAAAAGATAAGAGAGAGAAGAGATTCTGGCAAAGAAGAAGAAGAGGAAGAAGAGGAAGAAGAGGAGGAGGAGGAGGAAGAGGAAGAGGAAGAAGAAAAAGAAGAAGAAGGAAGAGAGAGAATAACAAAAACATGCATAGAGAAATAAGAGGTTACCTAAACATAAAGAAGGAAAGAGAGGTTGAGGGTGAGGCATGGACACAGAAGAAGGAGAAGTGATGAAGAGGAAGGTGAATACAGGGCTTGGGAGATACTAAAGATGTTTTTAATATGGGTATCATGCATGGGAGTCAGGAAGTATAAGAAATTCTTTAAAAAAAAGTACTTATATTTTCCTGTACAGAGAATCCCGGTTTTTATCAGATTCTCAAAGGTATGTGTGGCCCAAAAAAATTAAGAACCAGTGTTCTAAAGTAGCTTGCCAAATCCCATTCATTTGAACTATGGATTCTGATGCATCCTTACCTCATTATTGTCTTTTGATATGATAATTAACTAATTTAAGTTAGTTCATAACTCTTTAATTGTCCTTTATTCTTATTCAGAGGGATAGATCTGGGTGACGGGAAGGGCTAGAATAAGGAGAACATTCTCTGGGCTATGAAGGCAGAAAACAGCAAGATGATTGTATGAGCTGGAAGTCCCCTACTCTTGAAGTTAGGTACTAAGCAATGTAATTGTTGCTTTTATTTTAGGATCTATGAATTTATAATTTTCACAAGATTTCTCATGTGGTCCTGATGATCAGCCAGGTTGGGAATTATTGTTGTGAATAGCAGTAAAGTCCTGAGGCCAAGATAATTTATAATCTCTCGGTATCACTAGCATCCAAAGTTGTACTTGAAACACAGAAGATTCTAAATGGTTAGTTGAATAGTTTATTAATAATTTTTAACAATATTACATTTTTCCTACAATGTGTAGATAAAATAAAATAGGCAATGTCAAATTACATATAACAAACACATATTACATATAACAGAACAAACACATATTACATGTAACAAGTATTCAGATAAGAAAGTGCCTACATCACTTAGACAATAAGTTACTGGTTATATTAGAAAATTTGTGTATGGATCACTAGTGTGTAAGTATTCCAGATCTCCGTCCCTGATATCCTTTTTCTCCTCACTGGTCAAAGTAAGAGTAACTTCTCATTCACATTATTTCCTAAGATAAGTCTTATTCCTTGAGTGAGCAATACCTCTTAGGCTCCTGAGTGATTGTAATCAAGGGACATTATGTAAACTTCAACAATCTTAGTGTTGGTTTCCTTTCCAAACAAGAGGAAAGAAATAATTATTTCTAACAACAATGCTATTTTACATCAATTCCAATCAAAAGTAAATCTCCTCCTATAGTTGATTAACAAGTGTTAAAATTCCTGCTATACCAGTAGTCTTTTGAAACTATAAACTTGTAACATATGAGGATCATGGGTTAAAAGTATAAAAGGTACTTTAACATGATATTCAGATAAGGTTGTCTGATCAGGTAATTCATAGAATAGAGATACTTTTCCTTAAAAAACCAGGAATTCACTTCCTGTTCCAATCATACGGGAAGAGAAATTTAAAGCTGTACATATATGCATTCTAGTAGTGTACCTTATTAATAAAGCCATTTTAAATATAAAATTCACTCAAAATTTAGAACTGTTGATAATAATTATGCAACAATATAAGATCTAATTGTAGAGGGAAAAAATCCTGAGACAGAATAACATGAAATGCGATGGTTTAGTCCACATTTAGTCCACTCAATATTCTACTCACCAACACATAAATGTAGCTAAACAGCCTACACTGAGCTTAAATTGTGTTAGATTCACATATTTGAGGGCTTGCTTGGTCAACCTTGGAACAAGTCCACTAGACATTGTATTAGTCCATTTTCACACTGCTATAAAGAATTACCCAAGACTGGGTAATTTATAAAGAAAAGAGGTTTAATTGACTCACAGTTCCGCATGGCTGGGGAGGCCTCAGGAAACTTACAATCATAGCAAAAGGTGAAAGGAAAGCAAGGCACATCTTACGTGGTGGCAGGGGAGAGAGTGAGAGTGGGGAAGTGCCACTCTTAAACTATCCGATTTCATGATAACTCACTCACGATTATCACCAGAACAGCATGGGGGAAACCACCCCCATGATCCAATCACCTCTCACCAGGTCCCTCCCTTGACACACGGGGATTACAATTCGAGATGAGATTTGGGTGGGGATGTGGAGCCAAACCATATCAGACATCTAGTGTTGGAATGAGAAGTGTCCTGGAAGAGAAGTCATTCTTCAGGAAAGACTAAGTTAAAGTAGATATGTCGAACCTCATGACAATGTTTCAGTTGTCAATTTTTTTTTATTTCCAAGGTTAGACTACATATCTGTCACTCCAATTTCTCTCTGATCCAGGCTCCCGCCCCAGGCCCTCCTCCACTTCAAATCTTATTTATGTGTCCTAGGAAAAGAGAAGGGTTGAAATAAAAACTCAAAAGTTACTTTCACTATAATCTTCTTAAAAAGATACTCAGTAGTATGAAGTATTCATGTTTAGGTAGCTCCTCTCTCCTTAACAGAATGTGTAATGTAAACAGGGAGAGAGGTGCCCTTCCCAAGTTCTGACATAAGTCCATGCAGGAAGATCAGTCTATGTGGCCTAACAAATAGGGAAATACTTTACACATACAGCAGCATCTAGTGGGATCAACAGTGTTATGGGACAGAGGATGGTAAAAGCAGAGGGGGTGATGTGGTCCTTTTTTCTTTTTCCCCCCAACTACTAAGGCCTGTGTTTGTGAACACATATGAGGCAATCCTCTTGAAAACTGCTACAGAACTTGGGGGACACTGACATCCACCTTAACTATAAGGGCAAAAACCAGTAAAGCACTTTTTCCAACAAAGAAGTTTAGTTCTATTTTAACTGTCTTTTAGAATGGTTCAAACTAAACAGTAGGGAAAAGGCTAGAATAAAAAGATATTTTGGTAGAGACAGGGTTTCACCATATTGCCCAGGATGGTCCTGAACGCCATAATACCCTAATGTTGCCTGTGTTCCTGTGTATTGCTAGGAGACTGTCATATGGTAACATGTGGGTGAATTAATGGCTCTATCACAACTTTTAATGGAGAACATCTTTCTACCTGGAGTCCATGAAGCCTGGGAGCCCCTGGATATGCTCCAGGGCAGGGGTTGTCAATTTTTTGGCTTCCCTGGGCCACACTGGAAGAAGAATTGCCTTGGGCCACACATAAAATAAACTAACACTAACAATAGCTGATGAGCTATTTTAAAAATCGCCAAAAACAAACACACACACACACACACACACGCACACACAAAACTTCATAATGTTTTAAGAAAGTTTATGAGTTAGTGTTGGGCCACATTTAAAGCTGTTCTGGGCTGCATGTGGGCCACAGGCTGTGAGCTGGACAAGTTTGCTCTAGGGGGATCCAATTCGTGTGTTCTGTGTGAATTTTTAAAATATGTTTTTTAGGCCAGGCACGGTGGCTCATGCCTGTAATCCCAGCACTTTGGGAGCCCAAGATGGGTGGACTGCTTGAGCTCAGGAATTTAAGACCAGCCTGGGCAACATGGTGAGACCCTGTCTCTACTTAAAATACAAAAAATTAGCCAGCCATGGTGGCATATGCCTCTGGTCTCACCTACTTGGGAGGCTGAGGTGGGAGGACTGCTTGAGCCCAGGGGCTGGAGGTTGCAGTGAGCCAACATCACACCACTGAACTCCTGCATGGGTGACAGAGTGAGACTCTGTCTCACAAATAAAATAAAATGTTTCTCATCATACTCTGAAAATTAAATACTGGCCAGGCACAGTGGCTCATGCCTGTAATACCAGCACTTTGGGAGGCCAAGGCGGGTGGATCACTTGAGCTCAGGAGTTCGAGATCATGCTGGGCAACATGGTGAAACCCTGAATCTACAAAAAAATACAAAAATTAGCTGGGCGTGGTGACATGCACTTGTGGTCCCAGCTACTCAGGAGGCTGAGGTAGGAGGATCGCTTGAGCCCACAAGGCAGAGTTTGCAGTGAGCCGAGATCACGCCACTATACTCCAGCCTGGAGGACAGAGTAAGACCCTGTCTCAAAATAAAAAACAAACAAACAAAATACCTAAGTACTAACATAAGCATATGAGCACCCCACTCATTATCAAGCAATTCAGTGCAATTTCAGTGCCATAATTGTGTTCATAGTTAGGCTTGGTGTCATGTGCTCTCCTCAAATGCTAGGGTTTGCTTTTAATGTATTCATAAGCAATGCCTAACTGCTGCTGAGGAGGCCTGTCCAAATGTCATGGCAATAGCCTTGCATCTACTGCTGCTGTACTCATGTTCAATATTCTGGCAGAAAGTGATTTTTACTGTAGCCAAAATTTGTGACTAAGGTATTTGCACTAAATAATAAATCTTTAATTTCTCAAGTTACATAGTAAATTGAAACTCTGTTATTTTTGCTAAGGTAAATTAAGCACTATTTGATTTAGGGCCAGAATTAAGGAAAAAACTGGGCTTATATGTCAATGCTTTGTTTGCACCAAGAGCAGGCCAAACAATGTCATAGCACATTTGTACAAAAATGAGAGATTCTGCCGGGCGCGTTGGCTCACGCCTGTAATCCCAGCACTTTGGGAGGCCGAGGCGGGCGGATCACAAGGTCAGGAGATCGAGACCATCCTGGCTAACACAGTGAAACCCCGTCTCTACTAAAAATACAAAAAATTAGCTGGGCGAGGTGGCGGGCGCCTGTAGTCCCAGCTACTCGGGAGGCTGAGGCAGGAGAATGGCGTGAACCCCGGGGGCGGAGCCTGCAGTGAGCCGAGATCGCGCCACTGCACTCCAGCCTGGGCGACAGCGAGACTCCGTCTCAAAAAAAAAAAAAAAAAAAAAAAAAATGAGAGATTCTGCAGTGGACTGATTAGAAAAAGCAGGTGGAAAAATGAGGCATATCACAGCAAACAGAGTAGGGAAGTACACATAAGACAGACTCAAAAAAGCAGAGCTACACTAACTCTTTCCATATTGGTATTTTAAGCTGACATTCTGCTGGTCTTTGCATACGCCAACTTGCAATGACTGCAACAGCCGTGAGCATAAAGGTAAACTGTCTAAGAATTGTTTGTTAAATACTTTCTTTTTATTATCAGCTTTTTTTTTTTTTTGAGACCGAGTCTCGCTCTGTTGTCCAGGCTGGCGTGCTGTGGCACCATCTTGGCTCACTGCAACCTCCACCTCCTGGGTTCAAGTGATTCTCGTGCCTCAGCCTCCCCAGTAGCTGGGATTACAGGTGCATGCCACCACGCCCAGCTAATTTTTTTATTTTTAGTGGAGACGGGGTTTCACCATGTTGGCCAGGCTGGTCTCAAACCCCTGGGCTCAAGAGATCCACCCACCTCAGCCTCCCAAAGCACTGGGATTGCAGGCGTGAGCCACCATGCCTGGCCTATTTTCAGCATTTTCGGTTGCATTATTAATGTAACTAAATCATCAAAATAATGGCTCAGTAACTAAAATAAGCTTATTATCAATATTTTCAAAATTAAAGTGATAATTACCATGACATAAATCTCCAAATCATTTAGGCAACATATAAAACATAAAACAAGCAAGTAAATCTGTCTAGTAATAAATCAAAATTTTGGAAATTCAATATAAATAAAACAACTCCTTCATTTAATTAAGATTGTTTAAATTATATTTCTTAAGGCCTATTTTCATTTATTTTGAAATTTTAATTTGTAAATCTAGCTAGATTTGTTTGAAAAATAATTTAGTATACTAAAATCATGGGCTCTGGAGCCTGCTTGGTCTAGGTTTGAGTTGCACAGCTGACATCTATAAGCTGTGGGATCTTGAACAAATCATATAGCCTATCTCTTTCTTAGTTTCCTTATCTGTAAAATGGAGATAAGAGTAGCACCAAAAATTCCACCATAATTTTTTAAGTGAGATCCAAAAAATTAGGAGTATGAGCTTTGGAGCCATACTTCTTGGATTTTTTACCTGAATTTCCCTTCTCCTCCTGTGTGTTACTACAAGGTTTTATTAAGCCTATCTCATAATGTTGTTGCTATAAAGACTAGATGAGTGTCTGTGTGTGCATATATGTGCATGTACTCCAACCATCCATCCATGTAACCATCCATTCAAAGTGCCTTCATTATTAGTATTATGGGTTTACAGTTGTAAGCACAACAGTAAAGAGTTTACATTTGGTTTCATATATGCACATTAAGTAACATTTTGACACAGTATCAGAGTCTAAAAGGCAATGAGGAGCAAACATAATTTTTTTTTTTTTTGAGACAAAGTCTCACTCTGTTGCCCAGGCTGGATTGCAGTGGCACAATCTTGGCTCACGGCAACCTCTGCCTCCCAGGTTCAAACAATTCTCCTGCCTCAGCCTCCTCTATAGCTGGGATTACAAGCATTTGCCACCACGCTCGGCTGATTTTTGTATTTTTAGTAGAGACGGGGTTTCACCATTTTGGTTTCACCATTGGTTTCACCAGGCTGGTCTCGAACTTTACTCATATATGACTAAAATATAAGACACTACATTTTTTAAATTATATTGTTACCATCCTGTATATCTTAAACTATGTTTATTTTAACCATACCGGAAAACACACTATTTCTGAAACTCCTTAGAGCAGTGGCAGTTTGACAATACAGCAAGGTTTCCTAATATTTTGGTGGCCTACCCTCATGACACATTTTCTTTGTCTATCTAGAAAGCACTGTAGCACTAAACTATACATGCTGACAGGATAACAATTGCTAGTCAGAGGACTACTTGACACCTGCTAAATCCAGCATAGCTTTATTTCTGCTTATTAAATTTAACTGTTTAGCATATTTTCATTTAACATGTGAAAATACTGTTGCAGAAGAAACAGTATCAGTGAATGAAGTAAAAAAAAAAAAAAGAATTTTTTTTCGGTTGGGCACAGTGACTCACACCTGTAATCCCAGCACTCTGGGAGGCCGAGGTGGGTGGATCACCTGAGGTCAGGAGTTCGAGACCAGCCTGGCCAACATGGCGAAACCCTGTCTCTACTAAAAAAGTACAGAAATTAGCCAGGCGTGGTGGCAGGCACCTGTAATCTCAGCTACTCAGGAGGTTGAGGCAGGAGAATAGCTTGAATCAGGGAGGCAGAGATTGCGGTGAGCTGAGATCGTGCCACTGCACTCCAGCCTGGGTAACAAGAGTGAGATTCCGTCTAACAACAACAACAACAACAACAACAATTTTCAATAATGTGGCACAAGTTACTCGTAACAAACAGGACTGCTACCTTTCTTATCCAGGTGTGGATTCCTATTAAAAGACAATTTTCATGGTTTAGAGATATTTTGTGTTTAGAGATCTTTTTTGTCTCACCTTTATGGTTCTGTAAAAACTTTAAATGTTTTTGGAAATAAAATGCTATCTAAATCACAAAGTACTAATTAGTTTTTAAAGAAGGATAGGAGTGAATATTCATTTGCATTTTGGCTTAGTCTTTTTCTATCGAATAATACAGCCATAATAATTTCTTTAGAAATGAGCTGGGATATAAATAAATAATAAAAGCAAATGCTGATGATACACATTTTCTGTTACTGTGTCAAGACACAACATCGTTCTCCTTTGTTGGCATATTTGATTAAATTACTTCATTTATTTTTGCCATGCATGAGATAGTTTTTGTGTAAATTTATGAAAAAATTTTCATACGTGTGCCTTCCTTAAAATGTTTCATTAATGCTCTATGCTCAATTCTGGATATAACAGTGGATACACTTTGGATTACAGCCAATAGATGGCACTGCTCTCACTAGGTAGCAAAGACCACATAAAGGTCTCATTACAGGCACAAATTATTAAGACTAAATATCTGCTCAAATCTGAATTTTTCATGATGAGAGACACATATTAAAACATAATAAATATTTAAAAATCTATGCTTAATAGTTACTGAATAAGAGAGGCCAATTTAAGGCAACCAATTTACTTATTTACCTAAAAACATTTATTGAGTGCCTACTATCACTAGGCACTACAGATATAAAAATGAATAAGATATTTCCTGGTCTCAAGTAATTACACAATAATATGGTTAAGTAATATTAGTAATGGAGATGGTCACAGAGAAGTACGGGGGCTCATCCTGGGGATGGGATGGATCAGTGAAAGCTTTTTACAAAGGAGATGATGCATGAGCTAGTAACCAAGGGGTGAGGGGAGGGGGGAGGTTGTTGGTATACCATATTTTGAACAAAGGGAAAAGCAACAGCAAGGACTAGAATATAAGAAATAGCATAAAAGCATAATGTGGAAAGTATGACTCAGAACATGTCAAGATATAAACCTGTTAGGTTTATATCTCTGTTAGGAGAGCTCTAAATCACTCAGAAGGTATGCTATCTTTTAAGAAATTTGGACTTCATCCTTCATGAAGACTGGAGGTAGGAATCAAACACAGTGGCTGTTGTGGGTAGTCCAGGCAGCAAGCACTAAAGCTTTAACCAGAGCAGTGGCAATAAAGGGTGGAGAGGAAGACATGGTTTTGAGAAATATTTAGGGGATAAGTGTTAGCAAGATATGGTATTTCAGTGTATGTGGGAGATTAGGGATGAGAACCAAGGCTGACACTCAAGATAAGATATTTCTAAGGTCCTTTTGAAATGCCACTGATAATTTCTTACTGATTATTCTTTTAATTGCTATTACATAAAGTAAGTTGCTGTCCTGCTGTTATCCATCCAATCTTTATTCTTTCATAGCACTCTGCACTTTTCCTTCTAAAAACTTATAATTTACAAGAATTACAGCACAATATGCTTGTTATATATTTATTTGGCACCTGCTTCTTCTATTTATTAAATTACACTTCATAAGGACAGAGTCATCTCTCCTGATCTGGTTCATCATTCCATATCTATCACCTAGCCTGATAAATAACTGACACTCAACAAATATTTGTTGAAGAAACACATATTTCTGAAGTTCCAAGATCTACTCATGCTCTGCTTGGCTGATAACTTTCTATAAGGATCAAACACTACTTAAGGCCACATTTGGTAATACCCACAAGAGATGCTGCCTATTCATTAAGTACTTTAGCTTTTTTCAGTGACAGCTTTTCTCACCAGAGTAGGAATGAGTCTTTTGCACATGTCAAGTTAGAAGCTATTTTAGAGTATAATAGGTGCTCTCTGCTCGTGTCAGCTTTCTCAGGGACAACAACCAAAATAACACTCTATAAAACCAAGAAATGTGCTCCTTCACCTTCTGAGTCTTGCCAGGGTTTCTACCATGTCCACTTGCTTTTCCTTCTCTCATGGATATTAATTTACTCTTATGGATTAATACTCTTTCTCAATGCTACCTTAAAATATCACAGTGGTTGGTCAATTCTCTGAAGCTTAACTATCTTTTAAAGAAAAAAATTTCCCCACTCTCATATTTTTATTTTTTTTGGTTTACTGAGGTCTAACTGACACATAAAAATTATATACATTTAAAGTATACAATGTGATGTTTTGATATATGTATACACTGTGAAATAATTGCCATAATCAAACTAATTAACATATCTATTACCTTATATATTTACCTTTTTTGTGGTAAGAGTATTTAAGATCTACTCTCTTAGCAATTTTCAAGTATAAAACACAGTATCATTAACTCTAGTCACCATGCTGTACATTAGATTTCCAGAATTTGTTCATCCTGGGTAACTGAAACTTTGTACTCTTACAGTATGTGTGTAGAGGAAAAGGGGAGTAGGGAGGGCTGTATTTTTTAAAAAACACCCAAGGTTTCCAGCAATTTTCTCTGTGTCAGTTTCTTTGGAATTTCAAGGAAAAAATGAAATAGATGAAAGGAAATAAAAATATTAATTTTTAAATCTAAATATTAAAGGCTGGATTTAAAAATTAGATTATACATCTATTCATAATAAATATTTATTTGAAGAATACGCTGTTCTGGAGCATTTAAAATATTCATCCAATAAATGAAAAAAATTAGCATATACTTTTTACAACCGATATACCAGGTGCTAAGGGACTATATAAGCAGTACAAACATGAGTTTAACCGTAAGGAATTCATAGTTTAATATGGTAGGTAAGATATAGATATAATAATGAGCATAAAGTATTCTAATTCTTAACACTGTTAGAGAGGTACTGTAAGTTGGTATGGTAGTTCAGTATAGGGAATGATTAATTTTGATTGGAGATATAAGAAAGACATATCAATGACATATCAATGACTGACAAAAGCAAGCACGTGTATTTTAATAAGTGCCACTTTTGTCACTGTAAAATTTCTTCTTGAAATACACATTTATTTAGAAACTGACAAACGAGGAGAGTAGATTAGTATAAACATTTTATAAATTGTAACAAAGGTGATTGAGTGAATGAAGGAGGGAAGAAAGAAGTAATATTGGCATTGCATTAAAAGTGATGTTACAGAAATTTCATTGTAAATTTTGACATATGAGTACCATGTATCTGGGAATAACAATTTATGAGACATTTTAGCAATTACCTTTTAAGATACTTCAAAATTTTCTAAACTACATTACTTTATATTTAATGTTTATATAACATTCTTTAAATGGAAATCAGGTGTTCCTCAACTAGTATTGATTTGTGTTATTTTAAAACATATTTTTAAAAGTTGCTTCTCTAAATTTATCAAACTCTCAGAATATGCTACACTTAACTTTAGAATAAACCTGGATACAGCTAACCATGTTACATTTGTTATTTACAGTTAGTACTTGATTACAACTCCCTTAAAGGTAACACACAAAAGCTATGTAATCAAGATTTGTATTCGTTCCTGCGAAAAACCAAATAACATAATTAATTTTTGAATAAACCAATTTAAAAAATTGAACTTAGGTTTATTGTTATGTAGGAAATATTGTGATTAAAGTTTGATGATTACATTTAAAGCATTTATTTTGCTAAATTCTAAAAGAGCCTTCCCCAAAAGTTGAAAGCAATCCATTTACAATTGACTCTCTCTTCACCTCAATAAGATAGCAAAGCAAAGACAACGATTACAAGGGGAGAAAGATTAAATATTTAGTCAATTATGAAAAATATGCTAAATTTTTCTAAGAAAAAAGTAAGGTGCTTTTCAAATTAAGTAAGGTATTTATATAATATCTTATATAAATAAAGTGCTTTTTAAGTGAAGTAAGGTATTTATAAGCATATCTTACCTACTATATTAGACTATAAATTCCTTAAAGATAAATCCATTATACATCCATTATAGTATCTTACCATCTAACTTGTATGCAGTACATGCTAAGTTTTTTAAATCTACTCCTATGGTTTAATACACTTTCTCAAGGTTACCTTAAAATATCATGGTAGCTAAATATCTTAAATGCTACAGAATAGTTTATTTTTAATGATATTTTAACATATTTACCAAAGATATAATCTACATGAACTTAATAGTAACCTGACTACAACTGACATGATGGTATTGGTGGATAAATAAAACCTAGGAGGTCATTTCCAGAAACTGGTAGGAGAAAGATTATATTAATGTTTTAGATTAAAGCTTTCTTTGTGTATCACATATTCGGGTAGCTATTTTGATAAAACTGTTTTGACAATATATAAATAAAATTATGCATTACCAAAATTTTACTAGGAAGAAGTTAAATCATGTAGTTTTTTATAAGAGTGTACCAGTATAAGATCTAGCAATGTACTTCTAATCCATGTATGAGAGCACAAATAGAATACATTAAATATTTCACATATTTAAACAAATTTATGCTGAATTCTAGTTGGCCTTCTGTCATTTCCATCACTAAGATTCCACTTAAAAACATTTATTAAACGTTTATTAAATGCTAGAATTATTTTTATCATAGTTCAAAAAATAGAAAATCAGACCAATAATTATAAAAATTAGTTTCAGAATGAATTAATTTGAGGACTTGAAAATATGTTTAAAACTTAGAGGTTTATAAAAGCAGATACCACATCAAGATCCCTTAAATATATTTTTTCACAATATGCACAAAACAGAATATGAAATCAGAAACATTTTACACATTCTCATACTTCAGAGAGCGCTAACAGCATTTTACTAGTCGAAAGCACTTTATCTTCATGTCTCTATAAGGCAGAGTTGGTGCATAATAATGTAATTTATATTGCCTAAATGTTATTTTGGGAGCAGTGCATCATTTCTCAAACTTCATGACCTTTACAATTTTCTAAACTTTTATTTCCCTCATTATTCTGAACAGATTTCATTACATATTTTGAATGTAAACAACCCTGAATAATGATGGGGACCATTACATATGTACAGCTCTGACAATTGTGCATGAAGCTGAGATGGAAACCCAGTGCATTAATTTACCTCTCATCTTCGGTAACTGCACTCCCATAAAAAGTTTTATACTCAACTCACATAAATCATGTAGAAGAAAAATGAGAAAATCTGGTGGCTAACTCATCTTCCACCATTCTGCGAAAATGAAATTCACTGAAATACCTATCAAAACTGCAATCATCAAGAGATAATGTCTTCTTAGGTCTATCTGCACTTTCCGATTTAATTTCCTCCATGCCCTTGACATCCACAGATACCATTAAGATTAAGCGCATACAGTAACTGAGCAGTTTTCAGATTTTGATATATGGGTCCTAGGCACTAAATGTAATATCATCATTTGAAAATTAATGCAATATTTCTTTTGTTAGTTTTTTGACTCAGAAAGCAGGATGAATACTTTGGTTTCTCTCAAGTAATTTCCCCATCAGAATGACATGCAATTATGAACAGATATGCACCTGGTCAGAGGTCAGTCAAATTACTACATCATTTAATGAGTAGAGAGATCAAAATGTAGCACACTGTTGCTGCCGAGAGACGCCTTGCAGCCTGCTACATCAAATATGATGGAATCATTAGAGTAATAAGCATGAAAATCTGTTTGCAGATTAACCTGTAGTTTCATGCTGCTTTCATCTAATGGGGCACTGTGGAAATCTTGTCAGCTTTTCATCAGCTACGATCAAATTACTGAAATTGCGTACAAACCACTGGTGCAATTGGAAACAACATCTACAAGCACAATTTCTTTATGATGATGCCAAAGAAAATAACAGACTTTATTTTTTACAATTTTATTTACTGTTCGGCATCTGATCATTTAGGTAATCTGTGTATAACAGTTACAAATTTATGTTCATACCAGCTTCTTTTACATATCAACCAAACAACAGTCAATCCAAATTATGGAACAAATATTACCATCATTAACTACAGAGTAAAATGTAAAGCATTTTAGCTAAAACATAAAAATGTCTGTGGTTCTCAGAAATTTTAGCCGAAATATTTAGGCATTTGGAAATATAAAGCTATGTTTTAATCAAAACCCTTATTTACTATTATTAAATTAAAAGATTCTACTAAAACAAAAAATAGCACATCTGTTAAATCTGGTAGGTGAGTATGTGGAGATCTGTTATATTAGTTTCATATACATAAAATTTCACAATTAAAAATTCAGAAATTAAAATACATTCATAAGAAAAATATATAGAAAGTCTACATATTTTAGTTCTCCCCTCCTTCAAGATTAAAATTGGAAGGGCAAAAATGAAATTACATTGCTTGAAAGTTTGTCTAGAACTATCCCCTTAAATGTTTTTATACTAGCAGTGCCCTTTAAATTTTAATTTTCTGAGCTGATATCATAATATTATTCTTGGTATAAATATTGCTAAAATATTTAGAGTAAATGTAATATTAATACGGTCCCACACCCAAAAGTGGTTTGGAATTAAATCTATTTATACACATTGTTTATGATGCTCTAGTATAGCAATATATAGCTAAGCATATTCTAAAACATCTCATTTAAGTTAGGTAAGCAGTGACTTAAGAATATAAGCCTTTATATGCTAAGCATTCGAAGATTTTTCTTTCATAGAATCACATATTCAAGAACCTTAGAAATCATCCAGTTTATACCCTTTACTTTATATAGGAACAAACTGAATCCTCCAAAGGTTAAGTGCCAGTGCACAGAATCAGTTCACTTAACACTAACCCAGTGCTTCCAGCACTCTGCTTATTTTCCAAGTAAAAGCAGTAAACAAAAGTAATTTTTCCTTAAAAATAATATTCATATGTGCTCAGTAAAAAAAACAAACAAACCTGTTACCTATCCAGATCATAGAAGAGAAGTCACCAATGATTCCACTGGAAGCTCAAGCTTTCGCATCTTGCTTTTACCACTCACTCCACTTGGCCACAAAAGATTTTAAAAATAAGTGAAGTCCCTCCCCATTAAAAAAAAAATAACTTTGATAACTTACTAAACAATATGGTATCAATTTACTTGTCTTTCAATTCCCAAACAAGTCAATAAACGCACAACATTTGCAAGAGCAGATGCTGAATAATTTAGTCAAAAAATAAATAAAAAGCTGAATATTTACTTAAAAGGTAGAGTCAACAAGGAAAGAAATTATACTATAATACGATGATATGATATAGTCACTACCAAAATTGAAGATTATAATAAAATGTTACAGAAAGAGTTGGGTCAAAATTTCAAATTTAAAAATACTAGTCTGTAATAAATCTAAATAATATTTTAAAGATGTCACAAGCCCCTTTTCTAATCTAATCATCTTCGCTTATTTGTTTTTTGCAATTATGAGATAGGATTTTCTTATATAAAGTAACCCATTCTTTCCTGTATTGATTATAATAAATTTATCATAAGCCTATTCTTACACATACTGTAATCAAGGTAACCAAAGTAAAAATAAAGTTGAATCTGTGCTGACTCCATAAAAGACAAATTACGTGCTCCTCAAATTTTCCCTAGAAATGCTTTAAATGATATAGTAATAGTATTAACTTCCAGATTTTGACAGAATTCCAGCAAAAACCAGCTTCACGTGTGTGTATACATATTGCATCTAGCACTGAACAAATAAAAAGTCCAAGTTGTAAAATACCATACATAGTATGACTGTATTTTTACATGTTAAAAAAAAGCTAAGTAATATATGCATATATATGCCTGAAAACAGAGAAGGATACAGGAGATGAGTGGTAACTATTAAGACAAGATTGATGGCAGGTAGGAAAAGATATAATCATTTTTTTTACACATCAGTTTTTTGACATATTACAATGAACACGTATTAAGGTACTTTATAATATTTAAAAGCATATAACGAAGTTTTTAAAAGGGTAAGGATATAAAAAGATAAAGGACAAAATGTTCTCATAGTTAGCTCTGAGTATACTGGAATTAAGATATTGTTTTTATCTAAAGTTTCTTAAATTAACTGGAACTGTTACAATTTTTTCTTTCTCTACAAAAATAATGATATACTTTAAAAAGTCTTATGCTTTGATAAATTTCACACACTATTTTAACAACGCTATGAGTAAGGGGAAAATTAAAAAAGTGAAACAGAGCAGTTGTGTGCCTTTCTAGAGGTCACACAGTAAAATCACAATATTCTGACTCCTTGTGCTGTGCTCTTCCTAAAATAAACAGGCTGTGTATGTTAAAATTAAATACCGATGCTATTATTCAGTGGCAAATGGTAATAAGCGTGATTAAAGATAGCACTGTGGCAAAGGCGTTCTCCATCTTAACTCCTAATACCTTGATTGGAGAAACAGAAAGCAACGTTGTTGTCCCTGTTGCTAGTTCTCTCTCTACAGTTACTTAAGTTAGATCCCAAGAAAGCCCCTGAAATAACTGCTAGGTACCACATGGGATGCCCTGCAATGAAGGTAAGCCTACAGTGTTTTGAACCCTAATACAAAAAACAAAAATAAGAATACAATATTCAGTTATTGCAGTAGTTTCAAGAAGGTCTGATTTTCAGACCCTTAAGTAATGAGAAGTGGGAGTTACTTTAATGCATTTAGAATATTTAGTTTTACTTTAAAAAGCTTTAATAACCTCAGGTGCATAAAAGTCAAAAAAGTTATCTATATTAAACATAATTCTGAGACTATCAACAATATCATGAAAATTGCATGACATCTTGTCCTTTTTTTTAAACGTTAGCCTGCCACCATTTCCCCTCCATTTTAAAAACCATTGTGCCTTATAATAAAACACACAAATCTTTCTCTAGAGGGTGAAAGGAGGGATTGGGGAAGGGCAGAGAAGGGCCCAAGTTCATGCTATTTGAATGACTGGACAATATTAATCATTTATTACAGAAGCAATTTTCAATAAACTTGTAACTCATCAAAATGTATCAGAGAAACGGATCACTTGACATGGCACTGTTTATGACTAGATTATATGCCAGTCCTCAGATTTAAGATCTGTAAACTGCCTAAGAAATTATGACAGTAATATGACATTAACATGACATTAACATTTTATCCACATTAAAGATATTTTAATTTGCACACATTCATAGGATGCACTGTGTGTTAAAAGGAAAGAGAAAGATTTATGGAATTGGTCTTGTAGAAAGAAGAAAAACTTCATGCTGTTTCATCTCATGATCACAGTTTGAGGAAAGTGTCTGTTTTAATACGCAGTTTCACCCTAAACCTCAAATGTATATTGTCTTAGGTGAGAAAAATATATTAAAATGTTGGGAGAAAGGTATCTATTATGCTGACATCCTTAAAGGGTGACATGAGCTAATAAATATTTTTAATCAGTGTTTAATAAATTTATTGAGTATATAGGTAACATCAGTGCATTTTGAGATAATATATTCTTAAACTCATTTAGACAAATGTCAAAAACATATTTTCAGAACACAGTAAGAAAATATGAAGCTACAACTGAAATATTTAAAATGCTACAGACGAAAGTTTAGAGTTTACAATCTATTTTTGCATTTTCTAGCTCATGTTGTATATTAACTGAATCCCCAAAAGTATGATAATGATCCATTAACTGTGTTTATGCTTGTGTTAAATAGAACTATTAGTCTGAAAACCGAAATACAGCAGTTTGATTTTCAAGTCCTATGTAAAATAGTCTAAAACAGAAAGGAAAGGGCTTTTATTGGAACCTGATAGTTATTGATGAATACCTAATAGCAATGGGCCTGCCTACATTTCTGGCAAGCAGAACTATATTCTTATAAACCACTGATGGGCTAAACAAACTATTAATGACAGTTGCTTTTCAACACTTAAAATGGTCAGACTGTGTTACTTGACCACAAGGACAAGTAGGACATCACTCTCAAATGTTATACAATATAAGAAACATAAATGAGACTTCTGTGGAGAGACAAAACCCACAGGTATGGCTCCAGAGTTCTTTTGCTATTCAACTATTAATAGAAAACAAATCCCACTTAAAGCTGTAAACACTTGTAATTCTTTTCACTAAAAGATGTATTATCATTCATTTAATTTCCCACTTAAAGCTTAACAAGGTATTATTAGTCCTAGTGTCCAACTCCAGTCCTGAAAAATACAACTTAACATCTGAACCAAAAATTTTAAAACAAATGTCTGTTACTCTTGCAAGATAAGATGAATTTTTTGCCCCTCTGTAAACTTTTTGGAGTATCTCTTCCCCTGGGTTTATGAACACCCAACCAATCATTCATAGGTTGCAGAATAATACTCAATGAATACAATGAAAACATCTAGATTCTTCACCAGATTCAGAAGGCCTTCTTCATTGGACACATGTCTTTCAATTTAAGGCCTTTTAATGTATTTTTCTTGCTGGTGGTCACTGAACCAGCAGCATTAACCTTGCTTAGGAGCTTGTTGAAATGCATAATTTCAAATCGTGCCCCAGACCCAAAGAATCAGAATGTGCTTTAAGCAAGAATCCCAGGTGACTCATATGTACATTAAAGATGGTGAAGCACTGCCCCAGATCACCCTGTACAGTTACTACAAGCCACTTCTATTTATTTGACTTTTCAGAAAAGAGAACAAAGGAAGCTTTAGAAACATCATACTGATCAGGATAATTCATTTCATTCCTTGCCAAAGGGGGCATAGCACAGCTGTCCTTCTTTCAAGCCAGAAACAACCCACAAAACTATTTTGACCTAAAAAAGTAATTTTTCATACAGCTCGACTTAATATTTTCTGATCTAAATCCTTCTCCCAAGAGAAAAGGATAGCATCATTTTTATAGTTTGCTTATAAAATAATAATAGCTGTATTGTCATCAAATGGCAAGGTTCTATCTCCTGTATTTTTTCCTTAATTGGAAAAATAAAAACATGTTGACTTCATTAAGCCCCCCAGCTGAAAGTAAACATTTTAATCCCCATTCAGTAGTCCAATAAGTGTCACTACTCACTACATTATCCAGAACTTTAAAACATAATGGAAGAAAAAACATGGAGTCACTGGGCGTGGTTGCTCATGCCTGTAATCCCAGCATTCTGGAGGCCGAGGAGGGCGGATCATCTGAGGTCAGGAGTTTGAGGCCAGCCTGGCCAACATGGTAAAATCATGTTGGTCTCTACTAAACATATAAAAATTAGCCAGGCATGGTGGCCGGTGCCTGCAGTCCCAGCTACTCAGGAGGCTGAGACAGGAGAATCACTTGAACCTGCGAGGTGGAGGCTGCAGTGAGCCAAGATTGCACCACTGCTCTCCTGCCTGGGAGACTGAGCAAGACTCCCATCTCAAAAAAAAAAAGGAAGAAAAAAGAAAAAAACATGGAGTCAGCACCCTTTGATAGAACAAGAAGAACTTAGAGTCAACTTTCTACAACTTTAGAGCAGCATTAAAAAAAAAAAAAAAAAAGTCAGGAGCAACATCTAATAACCACCCACCTCCACTCCTTCAACCCTTCTGTGATAACAGACATAACCCCGGGGTCATTATCAGAAGGCCTTTCATCTATAAGCGATTATTCATCAAATTAAAAAAATTATTTTCTTAAGTTCATTACAAAATCTAATTAAGCACAACATTATAAGCAGTGTTTTCACTCATTTCCTTTAAGCCTTAAAAAATGTTATAGGCACTGAGCTATAACACAAATCCACTGAGTATGCAGCATCACTTCTTGGAACCTGAGGGTCAAGAGAAACCTATGCACACGTGAAGCATGTGCTACCTGTTGTGCTGTTAGCTATAAACCACTTTGCCTCTGACCCAGGAATCTCATATCTTCTGCCAGCATCTATACAACTGTGGAAGGCATGCAAGCAGGCTAAAATCTCAGACCCTTAATAAAGAAACACAATAAATATAATGATACACACAGTAATTTTTCCAGGATATAATGTTAAGCAAAAAAAAAGGAAAACAAAAGAATACACACACCACACATACACACACACAGTTTAACAACAACAAAAAAAAAAAACAAAAAAACCCCAAAAAACAAAAAAACAAAGGATTGATAATAAACCAGAAGTCAATAAAATTGGCTGTTTACAAGGGGTGGAGGAGAACAGGCTAGAAAGCAAGAGAGTGACACATCTCTCTGAGAATACCACTGTGTATAATTTTGACCTCTGGAAGTATGTTAACATCATACATGTCCAAAGATAATTAAATCAATAGGAATGGGGACAAAGACACCTAAATTGAATGCAAACAGAAACAAATAAATGCAACTATATTTCAAATGAATAACATAACTATATTCATTGGAGAAAGGGAACTGCAAATAAATCTTGAACTCTTTTTAATAGGGTTGTTTTACTCAAAGTATGCTTGTAGCAATTCTAAAACTATTTTATGTGTATTACATGACTGAACAAATGAGTAACAGTATTGGTGTTATTAGGAGTCAGAGTTCTCACTTGTTATAAGAACCCAGAAGCCATCTTGAAAAGATTCTCCCTTGATAAATCTGGGACAATCTGAGCATCAAAATAAATAAGGGAAGTAACTAACAATAACCTATTTAATAAAATTAAAATCATGAGTCCTTACTCCTGATAAATAGATAAATAAAATAAGGAAGGTGGGCTCTTCCTTACTGTAGAATGCTGGCTGTAACATGGAGGGAGCAGTAGAATTGGAAAATCTATATTTTGCAATCATCAGACAAGAATCATCAATGGATAACAGAGCAACAGCCTTCAAAGTCTGAGTCTAGAACTTTAAAAAGGCATAGGCTTTATGGGTAGTGAACAAGTTTGTGAAAAGAAAAATAAGATGGTATTAGACAGTACATTATTAAAAAATTAAGCTGAGGAGAATGAGATACTAGGACAGTTCTCAGGATCACTTGGCAACATTGAGAGAAAGAAATGATTAAAAAAGAAAAAAACAGAGAGGCTGAATCAGTGGTCTAAGAGACTGTAAAAAACTTAAGTAAAGGAAATCAGTCCTTGAAGAGGTTCCAGGGGAAGAGTCCACCTATCCCACTCTTTTCTCCACAGATCCACACTTGCTTTCCCCTTTTCAGGGTTACATATAACTATATACCAAGAAAAGTATATAAACATATAGCACAAAAACAGGGCAACTATGTTACCTGGTAGCAAGTATAACAAGCGACAAATATAATTTTTCTTAACTTATTAAAATGTATATTGGCTTTTACCCCCTTAGAACAATGCTCTCTATGATAATCTAAGTAAATAATTTTTTAAAAACAAAGACTGAAGAAAGCTACACAAAGAAGAGATTAATTCCAAATGTACAGGATGCTTTTCTTATTTTAATATTATCATATATTTTTTAACACTGATCTATTTAAAAATATACTTCTAATTGTATTTGGATATACAGCCAATTCAAAGAAGAGCTACATCTATGCTAGAAGGCTCTAAACAATATGCTCAGCAGTGAAAGGGAGAGACACAAACCTCAGGTGCCCACAGATGCTAGACAGAACAGGTTTCATTAATGCTCAACCCATAAATTGTGAGTTTAGCTCCATTTTAGGCATGAACCTTTTTAGAAAGGTTTATAAAGATATTCTTCATAATATCACTGACTTTAATGAGTATTATTAATGTACAATGCAAGATGGATGAATGGATGGATAAACAGACAGATGGATAGATGAATATATTGTTAATAGTTCACAGTTAGTGGGTCGATTACAACATAAAGTTACAGTCTTTCAAACAACTAAGATAAAATGCATTCAAATCATCTGCTTCTTACTACCTAACTGTATGCTAGTCCTGGCTCTTTATTCCCAAAATGCTTATCTTTGAAATATATTTGAGGTATATGACCTGGCTCTCTCATTCCCAAAATGCTTATCTTTGAAATACATTTGAGGTATATGACATAAGTAAAAATGAAATATAACTTAGTGTCAAAAATAGGGAAGAATAATTAATATACAATTATTCTTCAATGAGTAGCTATGTTTTATAAAAAGTTTTAAAATATTTTTAGCCAGAGTACTCTTTCTTCAGATGAAATGTTATTTAAAAGTTCAAAAGTTTACAAAATAAGTAAAAGTGGAACTATTTTGGTTAAAGTGAGTAGTGGAAGTCTGGAGTACCACCTGCTGTGGAGAGCTTTCTGGGCAGCCGAAGGCACAGCTAGAAAACCACTGCTGGATAAAATTATAAGTACAATATAAATGTGTGAAATAGTCACTGAAAATGAGATGCTACTAGTAAGTATAAAACATACGAAATTTAAACTAGTAAAACATCAAAGCCATTTTTATTTACTGAAGAACACAAACAAAGTAAATATAAAGTATTTTTAATAAATAATAATTTACAACAAAAGTATAAAAGACACCTCAGGCCAGGTGGCTCACGCCTGTAATTCCAGCATTTTGGGAGGCTGAGGCGGGTGGATCACCTGAGGTCAGGTGTTTGAGACCAGCCTGGCTAATATGGTGAAACCCCATCTCTACTAAAAACACACAAAAAAATAGCTGAGTGTGGTGACGGGCACCTGTAAGTCCAAATACTGGGAGGCTGAGGCAGAAGAATCACTTGAACCTGGGAGGCAGAGGTTGCAATGAGCTGAGATCGCACCACTGCACACTAATCTGGGAGAAAGAGCGAGGCTCCATCTCAAAAAAACAAATAAATAAATAAATAAATAAAAATAAAAAATAAAAGACACCTCATATTGGCACTATGATAGCTGTTCTTCCTTGTTGTAAGCCCCTAACTGATACTGGAATGTGATGTTACAAACTAACATGTTTATTCTGATATCCATATGTCCTAAATCTATGTGCTATTATGAAGTTATAAACAGTGGTTCAGGAAATATTTTTTAATGATGAAAATAACCATGTTATTTACTAACTTCTGATCCCCAAATACATAGCTCAAATTTTCTATTATATCCTCCTTTTTAATAATTAATCTCTAATTTTTAGGATCACTTTTAAAAGTCTAGGTTTCCTCAGTTTCCATTAGCTATAAAAGAAAAACCAAAAATTCCTTCCAACTATAAAACTGCTATAAGTCAAAATGAAGCTGTCTCTTGCTACTGTTTGCTTTTGTGGAAGCAGAACAAAAGTACATTAATAGTTAACAAAGCTACAGTATGATATACGAATGAAGTCTTGCATTAAAAAACTACTTAGACTGTATTTACAAAAGAATATGTACCATTAATTATTCAACATTTGGATCTGACCAGAAACCAGAGGATGACTCTGTAACGCTCAGTTTAAATGAACTACTTAATGTTGTAATAAACACTCAATACAGTGGGCTCAATGAATTTCAAACATATTACAATTGTAAGGGTTTTCCAATTTTTTGATCAATAACAGATTTTAATGCTAAATCAGTTTGAATTTCACTTTTCTCTAAAATGTTTACTTAAACCAAAAATTTTGCATCTCAATTATTTTATATTCTAAATCTGAATGTAGTTTAAACCAATGCATTATTCATAAAGCAAAGACATCAGGAAAGACAAAGCTGTGCACTTCTTTCAAAGCTGCTAAATTGCTAAAACATACCATATTTATGCATGCAATATTTGATTGTGTTTTTCTTAAAACACAAGCTTGTTTTCATCAGATCAAGATATGCCAAAAATTCTACACCAAACAATTTTTGTTTATAATTAAAGCAAGCATCAATCCAAGGATTGTCATCCATTTTATTTCATCTCTACATCAAAAAAAAGTAATTTAAAAAATTTTTAAATTCCCTTGAAATGATAAGAGAAATGAAAATGTAAGTGCCTTCACATAATAACAGTAAGCTGACCCTTTGGGAAATGGTTGACTTTCTCAATACAAAGTATTCAAAGCTCATTCAAAAGTGTTCATTTAGAATGCAGATATCAAAGATGATGCAAATGTTCAAGAGAAAATGAGAACTTACCAGATGTTCTAATCCAGCTTTGATGTTTCCAGATTCCCTAAAATAGAAGAGTAAAAGTTCTAAATAGTTGCTAAATCCTTGTCTGCTCTAATTTGTTTACCTCAAAAATGTTTTATAAACCCTTGTAATTTTTTCATATGTATTTACTTATGTTCATAACACTGTTTTTAAGGACAAAACAATTTTTATCAAAAGTGAACAGATAATTTATATCAGATTTACCACTAAATTGGTATTTCACTAAAAAAAGTTTCAGATTTTTCAAAGTCAATGAAAAATGTAAAGAACTCACAAACATCATTTTATTCTTCACACAATATCTATTCCTTTCACACTAGCTTTTCTATTAGAAATTTTATTATATTATTGTTTATTTCCAACATTTATTATGAAAATGTTCAAATTTACAGATTCTATCCACCACCCAGATTCTATAACTCACATCTTATTATATTTGGTTTCTCAAATATCCATCCACCAATGGTTGCGTTTTTATAAAAAGAATGTACACATAAAGAATACATTAGTGAGTACACAGCTAAATAACTAAATCTTATCCTATTTTCTCCTGTCATTAATTTTATGAATTTAATGCACACTACAAATCAGGACCTATGATCATTTTAATATCAAAAAAGAAAATATCACCAAAGAAAACATAAACATCAAATATCATGATATATTTTAAGTATTAAATTTCCTGCTTTTTACTGTAGAAGAGACTGCTTATGGAACTGAAAATACAAGTATCTGTACATCTAGCAAACATAATTTAAATACAGATTTGTTGAAATGTGGCAAATAGTTAAATTTTTTCTGATTTCAATCTGTACTAATTTATTTGTGACAAATGAACTTTGGCTTTTCTCATTCTGATCAAGCAATATTTTAGTTCCATTGTAAGTACCAAGCATTACCTTTTTAAACAAGAAATTATAATCCTACCACATTGCAGAAAGTAATTATTAATATAAATCCTCCAACAATAAACAACATTATTATATTCATGATGTTTAATCTTCTCCCCACATCTCACTTCTCTGAGGGGTCTCAACTTTCTTTTCTATTTCTGTCTTCTATTTTTTCTTTGCCAAAGATATACTTACCTGTTTCCTTTGTCTTGCTTCCAAATTTCTCCATTTTTATTCCCTTCAGATTTGCTGCTGGAAAACTGTACTCATGGCTTCCAACCTTTGCTCTCACTGCCCAGTCTGACATATTAGAGTAAATTCCCACTTCTACTGATTAGTACTAATTTTCAGCCATTCTCTTCTGTATTTCCTGCTTCTGGCAATCTTAGCAAAACTATATATTCAATGTTTAGATATTTAATGGTTTCTGAAACTCATTATTTAATCTCTAATGTCTGCAGTCCTACTGACAAATGATAAGAATAAATTACTGCAAGGTGTGAGAGAAGGCTACTATCTATATAAATAATTATTTTATACTTTATCATTACAAAATTAATGCATTTATCGGAGCTGGAAGTCAAATGAATCTTTACATTTTCACAAGAACATTCAAATATAGTTATTTGTATAACTTAAAATTTAAACCAAAAAGTATTAACATATAGTGAAACATCTGAACAGGGCAACATATATGTATGTGTGCACATGCATGCACACACACACACACACACAAAATAAAATTAAGTCTTCCTCCCATCACTGACTCCCAGTTCTCAATCTTGGTTAATCCTTCTGAAGATATGCACTCGTGTGTGTGTATGTGTGTATGTGTGTGTGTGTGTCTTTCTCCCTTCTATGTTTGTTGAAATCCACAATAGAAGCATATTATACACTCTGTTTTGTACCTTCACTTGGCAATCTATCTTAGAGTCTGTGCTATATAATACACATCTACTTCGCTTTCTCGCACAGCTACATTGTCACAAAATGGTTCTTATTAGAAAATAATATTGCAATATATAAAGAACGAAAATGATCAGATTCAAAGTATAAGTCCATACTTTATTATCTGAAATAGCTGGGGCTAGACATGCTTTATCAGAATATTTCAGATTTTAGAAAGGTTAAGGTATGTCATACAATGGTGCCAGCAGGGTCTGATGCAGCATCTCATCATCATACACGTTAGTAATTCTGAAAGAAAGATATTAATGTTCACACAAAATGGGATAAACAAAGACTGTAAATAGCTTCATTTCAGGGTAGGTTTGCTGTCAACTGTGTCTGCCACAATCTTAGGGAAAATCACTTAATTTTCTGAGATACCTGTATTTGAGAATGAGGACAAGAAACTGCTCTTTAAAACAAAAAGACAATGTAGGCTATTGCTTTGCCATGTTTCTAAGTAATTCTTTAAATTAAAAGATATTTATAAAATGTTTTGAATGGCATGGCTGAGAGAAAACTAGTCATCATTCTTGGCACATTCCCTTTCCTTCACTATCAAATGTAACCAAATGTAATCAACCATAGGGCCCTGGCTATCCAACAACCTTCATTATCATTAGATCTAACTATTTCTTTCTATCTCCACAGCTTTTATGTTATTTCAGTCCATCATCTTTTCTCCCTAAATTGCTGCAATAGTCTCTTATTGAATGCCAGTAGTTGCTGCCTTGTCTCATGTCAATTCATTTTCCATTAACACAACAAAATCTTTATAAAATGTAAACTTAATCATGTCAATTCTCTTCTTAAAATCTACAGTATCCTACCATACTGCAGTTTACCTATTCCCTCTGTTATCTTGTCAAAGCTACATTACATGAAAAGTAACAACAGCAGCCACAACAAACTACTAACCTGGTTTCACTCACCAATGAACCACTTTCACCCCTACCTAAAATGCTCCTTTTCTCCCAGCCTCCTCTAATCTTCCCTATCTAACAAAAATCCATCCTTCAGGACTCATCCTAAACCATTCTTCAATTGGGGAAACCTTCTCCTTGTCCCACAAATTATGTGATGAATTCTTCCTATATATTTCCATTAACACTCGGGGCATGTCCCATCACAGAACTGATCACAGTATTTTATAAATGCCTATTTACTTTCCTACTTACACCAGTGAAGTGAAAACTCCTTGGCGATATGCATTACGTCTTTTTAATTTTTATATTCCAGCACCCAATACAATGACTGAATCAATATATTTAAGGATATGACATCTGAATCACAAGACAAGCTTGGGTACAGAGTCAGTAGCAACCAGCTCAGGTCTCTGAGCAGTACTATTCAGCCCCACTCTATCTCCAACCCATGTAAAGAGCAAGGCAATTTGCAACACTGAGTGGCTGCCTGAGATAAAACAGTAGTATTAGGAGGAAGGCACAGGTGCCTGTATGTGCATGAACATGTGTAGGGTGTGGGTGGTTATTTATTTATTTTTTTTACTGTTTTTGAGGGTGTGGGAGCCACGGGGAAAGTAGTTGAGGCTAAACTAGAACACTAGAGATTGTCCACTCTAGTTTTTAAATTAGCCTGGAGAAGCACAAGTCAGATCTTAGGTTTTTACCCCTCCTTTTAGATTAAAATTGCTATCCAAGGCAGCTAAATGCTGTTAGGAAAAAAAAAGATGAACCCACAAGGAAAACTGTAAGATGTATAAACCAGAATTTTAAAAAATAATAATCTTATCCAGAGAAAAGAGAATAAACTAAACAAGAATGTAAACATAATAACATCTTCAAAGAGATGATTTTTAGAAATATAAGTATGAAAATGAAGTTATGAAAAAGAACCAATATATGATAGTGGGTATTACAAACATAATCATTTGAAATAAAGAATTCAGAGGATGGATTGAAAATACAATAGATACAGACAGAGGATGAATTAATAAGCTGGAAAACTGGGTAGAAGAACTATTGCAGAAGGCATAGGGAGGGGGCAAAAAGACAAGACAAACAACTGATAGAATTAAGAACAGGAGTAGAAGTGTTAACATCTATATAATAAGAATCCTAGAAGGAGGGTTAAAAAAAATGGAAGAGAAGAAATATTTGAAGAAATAATGACAGAGATTTCCCAGATATAAAAATATTCAAATCTCAGGTTCAAAGGGCACATAGAGTGCTGAAAGGATGTTTAAAAATCTGCAGCAAAGCATATTATACGGACATTTAAGACTATAATGGATTAAGAGAAAAGTCAAAAAGCTTCCGGAATGAAAAAGGAGACCCCTACACAAAGGAAGAATATCACTGATATTAGATTTCCCGACACTAAAGTGAAGACAAGAAGACAATGGAGTAATAACAACTCTCAAGATAAAGTGTTACAGGAAAAGAACTGTGAACCAAGAATTAACACATAGCTAATAAACTATTATTTAAATACAAAGAAATATAAAGAAATTCTCAGCATACAAGGTTTCAGAAAATTCACCACACAAAGACATCATTTAAAAGAAGTCTTGAAGAATATAATGCAGGTAAGAAGATAAATAAATTCAGGAAGAATCAACAAGGTAAGGCAAGTAAAGGATGGCCTAGAATTGAGCAATTATTGTAATCTAAGTAATCAGTAACTAAAAAGAAAACTAGAGAAAGTTCACCCATAATCATCTGGAATTGAAATCCCAGAAAAGATTTTCAGATTGGATAAAAAACCAAAATCCAGCAATGTATTATTTACAAAAGACACATAATACAAAATGATTCAGAAGGGTTTCCCAAAAAAAGGTTTCCCATAAAACCAGGCAAATATGGACCAAAAGAAAGCTGGGGCAGCAAGTTTAATGCTTTAATGACAAAATACATTTAAGTCCCCTACTCCCATACATACATACATATGTACGTACGTACACATATGTATGTATGTATATATTATGAAAAGAAGGTAATTTTAGGTAATATATACATATATGAGAGTCAGGGACTTAAGTATATTCTAGTCTAGGGAAAGATAAACCAAGAAGTTTTCATTTATATCTGGAAGGTTTGCATATACATAAAGCTTAACACATATCACATTGGGACACCTAAGTTTAAGCAAGTTCTCCATGAAAATCAGTTTTCTTTACTTTTACTTTGGTCAGAAAGATAAGGAAGAATGACCACCTCAAAACAACACAGGTAAAGTATCATGAGTACATAAATACAACACAAAACAGTATGACATATAATACTCGTTTTAGAAGCAGAGTGCCTACACTCAAATTTAAACACTACTACAAAATAGTCCTGTGAGCTTGAGTAATAATCCAACTTTTCTCAATCTCAGATTGTCCACCTATGATGTGAGGCTTACTTGCCTTACCTAACACACAAGGTTGCTGTGAAAGAGTAAGAAGGATAATGTACATGAAGATAAAAAATAAACTATAGAAATGTTATTATGATGGAGGATATTTAAACACAAAAGTCTTAAAAGTGATTCTAAGAGTTTTAATGAATTTGAAAAAATAGAGAGGCAACATCCAAGACATTGACAGAAGGATCTTACAACAAATGGTATAAAACCTGTCCTCTTTAGTGGTCTGTCTCTTGGGTTGTCCCTGTCATGACTTCATCAATATTTGTGCAACTCCTTTTGCCCTGTGCTGAAAGCAGACTTAATTCAATTATAGGTCTCAAAACTGATAAAATGGTCCTGAAGTGGAAAATGGGAAGAGATTATTGGCAAATGAATAAAGATTTGTATCGAACTAACACACAGGAGTACAGCAGGTCTTTTTTTAATCATTCCCTGTCTTAAATCTTCTGGGAACCATGAGTTTCCCTTCCCCTCATGCAGCACATCGATTTCTGAATTAGACTGCAATATTAAATAATTAATATACTTGCCATGATTGATGTTCTGCATTAGTTGAATATTAGGTTATCAATCAAAATCCACTTGGTTTAATGTAATAATATTGAAAAAGTGTCACAGGCTGTTCATCCAATTTGTAGTTGAGGCAGCACAGATAGTGATGTTGGCATAACACAAGGCTCTAAAGCAGGAAATGCAGTGGCTCAACACGTATGAAGCAGACATTTTAAAACTAACTGGGACAAGACTGAGGTTGTCCAAAATAAACCAGGTAGCACCTGATAGTTTTAATCTTAGGCGTGAGAAGATGCCATGTATCAATTATGCCATGGTAGGCAAGAAAAAAATTAAAAGTAGGTATTACTTTCCCTTTGTTACAAACAAATTTCATTATTTTTCCAAAAGAAATATACTCTACGTCTAAAAACTATTGCTATAATAAAGCTTATGTCCTCTTAAGAAATTTGTAAACAAAAACACTAAGATTTTTTAGATCTCGTCTTACCAGAAAGTCATTGACTTTTCTTACCTTTTCTTAAAACAGAAGAACAGTATCAATCATACCAATGAATATTCAGGTTTTTTAGTAGTCTAGAGGAATCGGGTTAAGGAGCCACACTTAATAATGATATTTATTTTGAAAAAATACTATTCTTTCTGATGATGGCAATTTCCCTTACTATCAATATTTTGCATCTACATTTGTCAAAATATTAGCTTAGGAAAATAACTTAAATTACTTGATTCTCCCAGTAAAGTAATGACAATTTTTCTCATCATTCCCTATCACCTCAATCCAAAATCTATTATGGATTTACTTATAAAAGTGATTACTTAAAAACAAATTTAAGAAACAAAAGAGATCTAAAAGAAAAGTGACTTTTTTGGTGGGATGAGCAGAAACTTAACAAAATAAATATAACCAAAACCATTTCAAAGAGCAAGCCAAAATTCCAGTGAGGGTTTAATTATAAAATACTCATAAACCATAAATCACATAACTAATTGGAGTAGCATGAAAGTGTCATTCCACTGAACAAGTCCTTGGTAAATAAAAGATTAAATATAATTATAATCACTAATGTATTATCCTATGTAAAAATATGTACATATATAGTAATTATGAAAAATTGAGTTAACTATTAAAAATAATTTTTTTAAGAGACATTCTGTCACCCAGGCTGGAATGCAGTAGCAACATCTAGTTAGACTCTAACTCCTGGGCCCAAGTGGCCCTCCATCCTCAGGCTCCCAAGTAGCTATGACCACAGGCATGTGCCACCACACTCAGCTAATTTTTTTCTTATTTTTTGTAGAGATAGGTAGGGCCTCACTATGTTGTCCAAGTTGGTCTTGAACTTCTAGACTCAAGTGGTCCTCCCATCTCAGCCACCCAAAGAACTGGAATTACAGGTGTGAGCCACCGCACCTGGCCAAAATAAAAATGTACAGTAGATTTTTTTGTCATGAACTAAACATATTATTTACTTTTAAAAGACTAGTATGCTGCAGTTTTCTATGGATATAAGAGCTAAGATCATAGTTAATTTTGTATTTTTTTCTTTCATAAAGCAAAATCTACAGGAGTTGGATTTTTACATGATGTCACTGAACGCTTATAAAAGCCTGACTACATACATTATTACATATCTACATTTTCCATCTCAAACAATAATGAAAACATTTTTACATGTATTAGATTTTGTTATATATCAAATGTTATTGATGAATAAAAGTTTGGCAAAATATAAATTTAAGAAAAAGCTGAGTTCTGCCAGGCGTGGTGGCTGACGCCTGTAATCCCAACACTTTGGGAGGCCAAGGTGGGCGGATCACGAGGTCAGGAAATCGAGACCATCCTGGCTAACACGATGAAACCCCATCTCTACTAAAAAAAATACAAAAAATTAGCTGGGCGTGGTGGCGGGCGCCTGTAGTCCCAGCTACTTGGGAGGCTGAGGCAGGAGAATGGCGTGAACCTGGGAGGCGGAGCTTGCAGTGAGCCGAAATCGCGCCACTGCACTCCAGCCTGGGAGACAGAGCAAGACTCCATCTCAAAACAAAACAAAACACAACAAAAAAAGCTGAGTTCTAATTTCAGCTCTACTATTTACTAATGGTCTTTGTTCAGTTATATATTTCTCAAATTTTTCTCGCCTTACATTCAAAATCAGATTAACAAGATAATCAGCATACAATATAGAAGTCACTCAGTAAATACTGGTTCAATACAACAGCCTAATAATGGACCAATTGACTGCACTTCACTTTCAAAATAAAAAAAAAAATCTTCATATAATTTTCAGCTTTCTTAATTGCCTTGAAATCCATTTCAACTGTAATACCTATAAATGAAAGTCAGTCTCATTTTCAAACATCAAATCTTGGATGGATGGATGGATGGATGGATGGATGGATGGATAGAAAGATAGAAAGACAGATAAATTTTGGCTAGTATCCAATAGAACACTACAGATATCCTGATATAAGGACATTCTTATGTTCTATTTGCAAGAAGGTACAGTGTTGGGAAAAGCAAGCAAAAATAATTTCTATTTTTGCATTTTAACTCAATTTTTAAAAATGCTTAATGTCAGTACTCTGATCTACAAAGATCTTCCTGAAATTCTCAGTTTCTGCTTCTCAGGTTTGGTTAGAATTCTTAGCACTTTTCTCTTGATTGGCGAACACCTTGCAAATTAGTGGCTCTAAATGAATATTCTTATGTTACTATAGTTCAGAATGATGGTTTTCAGATGTTTGCATTTTACAAGTAGTTTTGATCTGACTGATTATTATCGGTAATAAATAAAGCTCTAGAACTTATAAATCATTTGCACAGGTAAGTCTACCATAGTAACAAAATTTAAGTGTTTTGTTATCTTTTTAAGATCCTTTAGTTTTATAGACAAATATTAGTGAGCATCCACTATGTCAGGACAAGTTCAAATTAAATATATTAAACAGCCAAGGACTTATGATACACACTTGGCTTATTCCAATGGGAAGCTGAACACTTAAGCTGGTATGGATCAGTTATGCCACTTAAAACCAGTCAAGTAAACAGAGTTCACAGAAAGGGTCTACAGGGGAAAGAGAAGAGAGTTCAATATTTCTGAAGTCATGCTCTAGATAACAGTTGCAAACAGAGGAAAACTAAAATTTTGTCATCAGTAGATCTGATGTAAAAGAACCAATAAAAGAGGTCTTTTAGACATAAGAGAAATTATAGCAGAAACAGACTTGAAATGTCAAGGTGAAAGAAGTACAACAGAAATGTTATTTGCTGAGCTCCCTTAGCTCCATGATAAATTCTGAGGGGATAATAAAAACAATAACAACATAAACATCATCAACAGAAAAAAAGCAAGAAAAAATATGGTATCTATGCCTTAGATGTTAAAAACTGTGTTGTCAAACCAAGGCTAGTACAGTCAGTCCTCCCCATCTGTGAATCCACAACAATGAAGTCAACCAACCACAGATCAAAAATATTTGGGGGGGGGGGGGGCGGGGAACGTGCATCTGTATTGAACATGTGCAGATTTTTTATTCTTGACATTATTCCCTAAACAATACTGTAAAACAACCACTCACATAACATTTAAGTTGTAATAGGTATTATAAGCAATCTAGATATAATACATAAATTATAGACAAATACTATGCCATTTTATATGAGGGACTTAAGAATCCATAGACTTTGGTATGTGCAGTAGGTCCTGGAATCAATATCCCACAGATACCGGGGGAAGATGGTATATAAAATAGTAACTGTCCAATCCAGGCAGGGAAAGGGCATGTGATACATGCTACCTATCTGGTACTTCCCACACGCAGGACAAACATTCATAATCAATGACAACTCTCTTTCCAACTGAGGCCAGGTGCAACTCAACACATTTTAGTAAGGAGTCATGGCCAGTTGTTTGGAGTTAGCAGGTGAGATGCAAGCTATTCACCGTCACCCCCCACTTCAACCCATGCTCTTGACCTTGTTCAAGGAAAGTTCATAAAAAGGAAAAATGATCAGATGTGTTAGAGTGGTTGGAAAAGATTTCAAAGAGAAGGGTATAGCTAGATCCTGAAGGATTCATTGTATTTGGGTAGACTGAGTACATAGAAAAGAGGAGGCGCGAAGAGTGAGCTCAAAGGTCCAGCATGACCTGGCAGTGTTCAAGTATGGAGAGTACCCTGCCCAGAGAAGATGTATTAAAAGGTCATACAACTTTAATTAATTTAAAATAATTTTTATAATGTAAGTTTTTAGGTCCATCACATACAGTTGTGCATGTTGTTCATTACGAAAAAACAAAAAAATCAAGGGGGCAAGTGGAAGCTAAAAGCCATATGCCCCGGCCAAACAGTATATCCTGGTATGCATCCACAGGAAAAAGGGACATCTTGCATAATATGCACAAAGTTGCCATATGGGCTACAAGTGACCCTTCAAATAATAAATGCTTATTGTAGAAAAATTCAAAATCACATCTGGTTCTAATGAAGAAAAAATAAAAGTCACCTGAAATTCCACTAGCCAAAGATAATAGCTTCAATATGTCCTTGTTTTTTCCTCCAGAAATTCTTATGAATACACACAAATACAATTATTTTTCTTATAAAAATGGGACCATGGTTGACTTGTTATATAGCTTAAATTTTTTCACTACTATATATTGTAAATAGCTTCCGGTTGTCAATAATATACTTGCATATAATATTTTAATGTTTGCATACTATCCTGCATACAGATGAACAATAAGCTAACTTATCCCTTATTTTTGGACATTTAGGTTCTTTCTGATTTATCCTTATAAATAAAACTGGGGTATAAGAAAAGAATAATCATTAGATTTAAAAATCATTGATGATTTTATGTAATGTTTATTTCACTTGGAGAACTGAGGTTAAATAATTTTTATAAGCAGAAATAAACCTAGTATATTTCATCTCCACTATTTAATCATAAATAAATTCATGCATTCTATTACTTCTATATAAATACAAATATTTAAATGTCAATTAAATTCACATTACAATTATAAATAATCTAAATGTAATTTTAAAATACAATTTCTACTTCCAAAAATTCTACTATAAAATTATGTCCCAATAATTTCATAAAAGCAATATATTCCCATATGTAACACAGTCAACAATCCCAAATAGAAGGTCATAAATATATCCTATTAAGTCTTTAGCTGTTAAAACTGAGGGAAAAGGCTAGGCGCAGTGACTCACGCCTGTAATCCCAGCACTTTGGGAGGCTGAGACAGGTGGATCACGAGGTCAGGAGATGGAGACCATCCTGGCTAACACAGTGAAACCCTGTCTCTACTAAAAATACAAAAAATTGGCCGGGTGTGGTGGCACGCAGCTGTAGTCCCAGATACTCGGAAGGCTGAGGCAGGAGAATCACTTGAACCCAGGAGGCAGAGGTTGCAGTGAGCTGAGATCGTGCCACTGCACTCCAGCCTGGGTGACAGAGCGAAAAGTGCAACATGTGTATATCTTTCCTGAAAACAGCAAAGTTTGAATAACTCAGAAATTGATTATCCAAGTTTTCAATTATTAAAGTCTTTTTATTATTTTCTCTTCCTTCCGTTGTTGTTCTGTTTAACTTCTGTTCTCCTATTTAACTCAACAGGAAACTGAAAACTAAGGTGTAATTTTAATCAGGTAAGCATCTAATAGTGCTAGGAAATAATAATGAAGTCTTTCCTTGTTTAATGAATCAAATTCCTCAGCCTAGAATTCAAGATTCTTGCTCAAGTCAAAAGATTTGCCATTTCCTAAAGACCTCTTTGCACTTCCCAGCACTTAAATTTTCATAGTATTTGTCTAAGTGAACTGACCTTCTCAGAGATTCCACCTGTGAGGAAATACTGAACAGAGTTTGCCAGGCACGGTAACAAGTGCTTTACATAATCTGCTCATTTAACACTTATGATTTTATCATAAAGACATGTAATTATTATACCTATTTTATAGATGAGATAAATGAGGATCAGAGAGATTCAGTAGATCACACTATACCGCTCAGCTAGAAACTTGAATTAAATTCCCAAACTTTAGTCAAGGGAGAATTTATTACTTTCAACTCTAAAAAACAATAACCTCAAGAATAAAACAAGATTTTACAACATTCCTTTACTCCTTAATTGGAAACATGATTAGGGAGGAGGCAGCAAAGCGATGAGGATTTAAGTAAAAATAAACACTAGCTGAACCTGGTCATTTATACTTGCATTCTCATTCAATTCTTACAATATTCACAAAACAAATACTGTACAAATAGCTAACACATTTAAACAGTTAGGAAAATTTTATAGTGCACAGTAAAGATCTATAAAATAAAAGGAAATGCCATTTTTCACCCAGCAAACAAGCAAAGGTGAAAACACCACTCCTATTCAACATAGTGTTGGAAGTTCTGGCCAGGGCAATTAGGCAGGAGAGGGAAATAAAGAGTATTCAATTAGGAAAAGAGGAAGTCAAATTGTCCCTGTTTGCAGATGACATGATTGTATATCTAGAAAACCCCACTGTCTCAGCCCAAAATATCCTTAAGCTGATAAGCAACTTCAGCAAAGTCTCAGGATACAAAATCAATGTACAAAAATCACAAGCATTCTTATACACCAATAACAGACAAACAGAGAGCCAAATCATGAGTGAACTCCCATTCACAATTGCTTCAAAGAGAATAAAATACCTAGGAATCCAACTTACAAGGGATGTGAAGGACCTCTTCAAAGAGAACTACAAACCACTGCTCAATGAAATAAAAGAGGATACAAAGAAATGGAAGAACATTCCATGCTCATGGGTAGGAAGAATCAATATCGTGAAAATGGCCATAGCCCAAGGAAATTTATAGATTCAATGCCATCCCTATCAAGCTACCAATGACTTTCTTCACAGAATTGGCAAAAACTACTTTAAAGTTCATATGGAACCAAAAAAGAGCCCGCATTGCCAAGTCAATCCTAGGCCAAAAGAACAAAGCTGGAGGCATCACGCTACCTGACTTCAAACTATACGACAAGGCTACAGTAACCAAAACAGCATGGTACTGCTACCAAAACAGAGATATAGATCAATGGAACAGAACAGAGCCCTCAGAAATAACGCCGAATAACTACAACTATCTGATCTTTGACAAACCTGACAAAAACAAGCAATGGGGAAAGGATTCCCTATTTAATAAATGGTGCTGGGAAAACTGGCTAGCCATATGTAGAAAGCTGAAACTGGATCCCTTCCTTACACCTTATACGAAAATTAATTCAAGATGGATTAAAGACTTAAACGTCAGACCTAAAACCATAAAAACCCTAGAAGAAAACCTAGGCAATACCATTCAGGACATAGGCATGAGTAAGGACTTCATGTCTAAAACACCAAAAGCAATGGCAACAAAAGCCAAAATTGACAAATGGGATTTAATTAAACTAAAGAGCTTCTGCACAGCAAAAGAAACTACCATCAGAGTGAAGAGGCAACCTACAAAATGGGAGAAAATTTTCGCAACCTACTCATCTGACAAAGGGCTAATATCCAGAATCTACAATGAACTCAAACAAATTCACAAGAAAAAAACAAACAACCCCATCAAAAAGTGGGCAAAGGACGTGAACAGACACTTCTCAAAAGAAGGCATTTATGCAGCCAAAAACCACATGAAAAAATGCTCACCATCACTGGCCATCAGAGAAATGCAAATCAAAACCACAATGAGATACCATCTCACACCAGTTAGAATGGCAATCATTAAAAAGTCAGGAAACAACAGGTGCTGGAGAGGATGTGGAGAAATAGGAACACTTTTACACTGTTGGTGGGACTGTAAACTAGTTCAACCATGGTGGAAGTCAGTGTGGCGATTCCTCAGGGATCTAGAACTAGAAATACCATTTGACCCAGCCATCCCATTACTGGGTATATACCCAAAGGACTATAAATCATGCCGCTATAAAGACACATGCACACATATGTTTATTGTGGCACTATTCACAATAGCAAAGACTTGGAACCAGTCCAACTGTCCAACAATGATAGACTGGATTAAGAAAATGTGGCACATATACACCATGGAATACTATGCAGCCATAAAAAATGATGAGTTCATGTCCTTTGTAGGGACATGGATGAAATTGGAAATCATCATTCTCAGTAAACTATCGCAAGAATAAAAAACCAAACACCACATATTCTCACTCATAGGTGGGAATTGAACAATGAGAACACATGAACACAGGAAGGGGAACATCACACTCTGGGGACTGTTGTGGGGTGGGGGGAAGGGGGGAGGGATAGCATTAGGAGATATACCTAATGCTAAATGAGGAGTTAATGGGTGCAGCACACCAGCATGGCACATGTATACATATGTAACTAACCTGCACATTGTGCACATGTACCCTAGAACTTAGAGTATAATAATAATAGTAAAAAAAAAAAAAGAAAACAAATGATAACGTTTCCATTGTTGGCAAAGGTGCTGAGAATCAGGTATCCTCATGCACTGCCAGTGGAAGCAGAAAATAACACAGGTTTTCTGGAGGGCAATTGGGAGAATGTATCAACATTCTCAACAATACACGTAAAGCCTTGCCTCACAGTCTACTTCTCTAAGTTTATCCCAATGACACATTCACAAAATATTAATCACTCCATTGTATTTAATACAAAAAACTGAGAACTAAATGCCCAATAATGGCAAACTGTCAAATAAAATATAATAACCATACAACAGAAAACGATATCACCATTAAAAATTGTGACATAGTTATGTATTTTCACGAAATGGTCTTGTGCTATAGTAAGTTTTTTTTTTAAATCATGTTACAAAATGTAAGAGGGTAAGTTTTATACATCCATGTGTACAGTGTGGTACATGTGCATTTATCTAAAAAGTTATAAACTGAAAAGTAAACAGTATTTGACAGTGGGATTATGAGTACTTTTTTTGTTCATTCTAATTGTTTATATGTTTTCTAAAGTGTCTTCCATGAAAAAAAATTATTAGTCCAATTTAAAAAGTATTTTTAAAAAAATCCTCACAGCAGCTTTATTGAGTAGTATATTATTCTGGGTCTACATTCAGCTCACATTTTTCCTGTTGTCTATAATCATAAATTATTTATGTACATGATTTTACCTCTAGTGTTCACTTTAAAAACCTTGTCTACATTTTTTTTCACCCTTATACCATCTACGTAATTTAATACAAATAGAATCTTCCTAATTTTGGTATGTGATTATCCAAGCTACAGATGAATTCAATTTAGAGATGGAGAATGTGAAATAGAGATAATGAACACAGTTATGTTTGCAATGCACGAGGCAAACAGAAATGGTGAACTCTTCAATAATGTATCCCCACTTTGTCTATGTTAGTTTTGGCTCCTATCACTAACCACCAAAAGTCCTCCAATACCTTCTCCCTAACATCAATGTCTTCATATCCCAAGTTCTTGTCATTGCCTGCTTTATAATCTACCTTACCTGGCTAACAATTTTCTGCCAATATGTAACTCTTCTCAAACCAGTTCATTATCACCTCCATAATTTTGCTCATCCATTCATCTACCTAAAACAAGATTCTCTTCTTCTCAAAATCTGCAAATTCTTATATTTATTGTACAAGAACCAATTAAACTCCCACCATGACTATGTTCATAACAATTTCTTAATCTCTAAACTTACAGTCCTTCCTGACATTTAATGGGTAAGCGCTAAGATCTTTGCAAATGTCCCAAGTTGAAAATGCAATAATGCATGTAAAGTGCTCAGCATACTGCATTTAGCAAATATTACTAATTATTGTCAACATCACCATTACTACACAGACCTTTGATGAGGATTGTTCAATACATTAACATCAGAAAAAACAAAGCCACTGTGAGATACAGTGCTGAGCAGTTAGTAGGCTTTATTCATTGGCTAAGTTACATGACTCCTTCACAGCATCCTCTCAGAACATAGGCTTTAAGTCATGCCACACAAAAGTTACAAATTGTCACATAAAACAGGCCACATCACTTTGAATAGACAGAATATTAAATCTGTGGATACCAAGGTCAAATGCATTGCCCTTATAGAAAACTCCCAATAGTCTGGCACTTGATTGTCAGTAATTATTTTATGTGGCTTCTATGTATATATCCATTTCCCAACTTAATTATTTGCTTAGGTAAACCTGCTTTGTTACCACATGAAGCTCTTTGATAAGCACAGACAGGGCTGGGGGTGGGGAGGTGGATATGGCTGCATCTCCCTCCAGAAAACTGCAAAGCACTGGCTGTGTACCAAGTATGTGTACCAGTATGAGGAGGGCAGCTTTCTTCCATGAGGCCTGCCAGGCAAAACTCTGTAATTGCCAATGGGTATGTCTGATTGGTCACACATAGAATTTTGGCCTGGAACCAGTTTCCTCAGCTACCATGTTACTCATAGGCTTCCTTTCAGTTCGACTTTTTGAAAGAGAGAACTATACACATACCCTATCTCCCCTCTCCTACCTCCCACTACATCCAAAAATTACTCTTGGCTAAAGTCATCAGTGGTTCCCCCATGTTACCAAATCCAAAGTCTACTTTATCATCTTTCTCTTTATACAATTCTTAGAACCATTTGATACTGTCTAACATTCATATTCATGTTGATAAGCCCATGCTGAATTAATGTTCAATACTTCATAGCCTTTCCTCACTTGTCTTCTATAATATTATATCGTTCAGGTTTTCTACATTTTCTCAAAAAAATGGCTCTTCAAGTCTCTTGTAGTTCCATGCTCTTCTCTCTAGCCACCAAAGGTAAGAGCTCCCCAAGGATCAGTCCTGGGCCCTAGTCTTGTGCTATAATTTCTTCTTAATCCATCTCACCCTCACACACAGCATTAATAGCAACCTATACGTACATGTGCAAAAAATGTATATCATTCATAAGCTCCAGATTCATTTACCCTGTTGTCTATTTGACATCTCTATTTGGATATCTAAAAAAAAAAAAAAGCTTATGCTCAATAGATCCAAAACTAAATTCTTGAGTTCCTCCTTCAAAACTGATCCTTTTCAGTATTTCCTATTTCAGAAAAGGATCTTATCATTCATCCTTCTGCTCAAGCCAAAAACCTGGGAATCAACCACTTCACTTTCTTCTTTTTCCCCCTACAAATACAATCTATCAGTTAGTCCTATTGATTCTACCTCTTAAGTAATCACAAAAACTATCTATATTTATATCAACTGCCACCATCCTAATTCAATTGCCATGACCTCCATCCTAGTCTTTCTTAATTCTGTCATAGCTATTTTAACCACTTCTGCCGTTGTTTCACTCTCATCCACCTGTTGCAAAACAGCCAGTCTAATCTTATAAAAATGAATCACTTTGGGCCAGGCGCGGTGGCTCATGCCTGTAATCCCAGCACTTTGGGAGGCTAAGGTGGGTGGATTGCCTGAGCTCAGGAGTTCGCAACCAGACTGGGCAAAAGGGTGAAACCCCGTCTCTACTAAAATACAAAAAATTGGCAGGGCGTGGTGGCATGCACCTGTAGTCCCAGCTACTCAGGAGGCTGAGGCAGGAGAATTGTTTGAATCCAGGAGGCAGAGGTTGCAGTGAGCCGAGATCACGCCACTGCACTCCAGCCTGGGAAAAAGAGCAAGACTCCGTCTCAAAAAAAAAAAAAAAAAAAAAAAAAAAGGAATCACTTCATTCTTGAGCTCAAAACCCTTCAATTCCTTTTCACCATAGCCATCATGATTTGCCCCCCACCACACACACACATAAACATTATTTATTCATTCAACAACTATTACTGAGTACTATCTCTGGGCCAGATTCTGTGATAGGAATTATGGATACAATTATGAACAACATATACCAGGTCATGTGGAGCTTAAAGACAGGTATAAAAACCAACGCACAAATATATAATTAGTACCTAATCATTAGTTACTAATAGTTTAATTAATTAGTAAATATGTGATATGAAAAATATTTCAGAAGTTAATACAGGGACCTATAAGACAGAATCAAAGGAAAACAAGAATTGCTCAAGGAATTCTTCTCTCATTTTATTCCACTGTCATGCTCGCTCGCTACAGCCTTCTTCTTGGGTGTATTTGTTATACTTCTTAAGCTACCCAGAATCTGAATACCATTCCAAATTCGGTGAGCTTTGAATCCAAAGTATTCCAAATATAGGATGACATGAATTATACTAGGAAATTTGAATAAAGAGTTAATGAAAGACAAGAATAAAAAGATTATTCTCTGTGATAGTGGCAACAGAGCTTAAGTCCAGTGGCAGCAATGTCAGAGGCGCTGGTGGTCAGTGCCTGCATACTACCTCTACTGATACCATGGTATACACAGGCAGTAACACCAGCTGACCAGTCTTCTTTTCCTGTCAGTTTTCACAACCTGGTTTCCCAGAGTCCCACTGATTACATAAGCTACCCAATAGTTCCACATAATCTACATTTATTTATTTACTTGCAATCCTTCCTAATAGAATCTAAGCTCAATAAGCACAACTTACATCTAGGAAAGAGGAAGTGGCATGGGGGAAGTCCTAGAGGCTTGAAATACCACTGCATATAAGAAAGACTTTTGTTTTATTCTAGTTCACATAAAGTGACAGTACAAATGAAGATTCTTCTAGGAATTACTTTCTCACAATAAATGGTTTTATATCTGCTTGCATAAAATAAAAAATAACCTATATTCAATTTATGGTAGTTTTCACCTAATTTTTATTAGTAATATTTAAAGGCCAATGGAGAATTTAAAAGTGCGCTAGCTTATTCTATTGAGCCGAAAGTACAAATCAGGGATCAGTAAACTACGGCCCATAGGCCAAATCCAGCCTATTTCCTGTTTTTGTACAGAACATGAGTTAAAACAGTTTTTACATTCTTAAATGTCTGGGAAAAAATCAAAAGAATAACATTTCCTGACACATGAAAATTACTGAAATTGATATTTTAGTGTCACTATATAAAGGTTTGTTGGGAAACAGCCACACTCATTCTTTTGTGTATTTCTATGGCTGCTTTAATGCGATTAACAATAGCTGAGGCGTTGCAACAGAAATCACGGATGGCACTCTCATTAGGTTGCATTGCTGCTCAAGGCACACAAAAAATCACAGTAACATAGCATAACTAAACGCAGTTTCAAGGGCCTTATGAATTGCTGTAATGTGACATTTAATTTTTAATACCAGTGTATAAGAATCATATCAAAATGAGAAAAGAATAGAAAAGGAGCCTTCAACTGTCATTTTTAAGGCGCAGTGAAGTGTGGACTATTTTATCAAATTAAATGGCAATTCATTGTGCTTATTATACAATGGCATTACAGCTGTGCTGGAAAAATAGCATATATGTTGATTTTTAAAAATAATATATACTTGACTGAACACTCTTTATAGTATTTCCAACTCACAGGAAAGCAATAGTCCAAAAAAATAGAACATTTAAAATGGAGTATCTCATCACAGCAGAATTTCTTCACAAAAATAAAAAAATAAAAATGAGTTTCTGAGTGTTGTATTTGTCAACCAATCAATGAAAGCCATTTACCAAAGATGACTTAATTAGTGTTTGAATGCAGTCAAAGAAATGTGTCCAGAGAAAATAAACTTGCTTAAAAACTATTAGACTTTTAGCAAGAACAGTTGTTCAAACTGTTGAAGACACAGGGAATATCATCAACATGTCCAGTGAAGAGATAAGGCAAATGAGTCCAAGCGGTTTTGCTTGGTTTTTCATGAGTCCACAGATGTCAGAGATACTGCTCAGTTGTTTATTTGAGGAGTCAGTGCTGAGTGTGGAATGACTTAAGAATTAGCCTCCATGAAAATTATGCATAGAACATGAGAATATTTTCAACAAAATTGAGAAAACACTCATTCAGTACAACCTGATGTGGAATCTGCTAAGATGTGTTATATATCATGGTAGTTAACAACAGAGAGCGGAAAGAGGCTTAGTTGGACAAATCTACAAAGCTTGTGAAAATGTAAGTCTACGAAAATTTAAAGCCTACAGTTATTCCCTGCATTATTCATCAGCAAAAACTTTGTAAAAACATCTGAATGTAAAATGTGGTATTTAATCAGAAGTGTCAACAGTGAACCTCACTTGCTCTTGTGGACTTGTCCGTTGTTGGTTGTATGATTTTTTTGACAGATACAGATGCTGAATATCCTGATTATTCCAACACATGGCAGCAGTTTGATGGCTTAACAGTGGTAAAGTCTAGTTGTGATGTTTCACATTAGGGATCAATACTGAAATTTTTCTGACTGAGAAGAACCCCCTCAACCACTTTTATCCTAAACCACTTTTAGCTTCAGCAGTAGACATAAAAATGCTCCTTAGGTGGGCACAGGGGCTCATGCCTATAATCCCAACTACTAGGTGGGGGCTGAGTGAGAGGATTGCTTCAGTCCAAGAGTTCCAAAGGCTGCAGTGAGCCATGATCCTGCCACAGTATATAAGCCTGGCCACAGAGTGAGATGCTGTCTCTAAAACAAAAAATAAATAAATAAAAATAAATTTTAATGAGCTCAACCTAAAATTACAAGGCAAAATGGTGCTTATATGCAAAATTCATCCAACAGTAAAGCCATTTCAGTAACAACTGATGTTGCTTGAATCACAAAGTAATGTCAAACTGCTTTATATACTTCCCATGCTGTCAAAGTTAAAGAAGATATTCATTCCAACACACATTTCAAGGAGTATGTTTTTTGACCTCAAATTACACTTCCAGCAGTATTTTTCTGCCTTTAATGCAAGTGTAAAGAAAATTTCCATATTCACAAGTCCACTTAACTGCACAATTGAGGAGCTTCTACTTCAATTGGAAGTGATTAATCTGCAGTATAATAACTAAAAGACAAAAATCAAGAAAAGAATCTAACAGAATTTTATAAATGCCTTTCAAGCAATGAATATGATCATAGATTGCAATCAAATTTGGCAATACCTATCTGTGTGAAGACATTTTCAAAGGTGAAATGTTTAAAATCTCATTACAGATCAGCATTAAAAGATAAATGTTTGTAATCAATTCTGATAACAATGAACATTAATTTAGAACCCTAATCAAGTAAAGTGCTAGCTCCCCAAAAGGAATTCCATTTTTTAAATTCATGCATTTTAATTACACAAAGTTGTGCTCAATAATTATTATTATACTTTGAATTTTGTCCAAAAACTGTGGACATATATTTTCTCTCTTGTTATAGATTTATGTTTACAGGATACCTTCAATTTTGCCTCTTAGCCCACAAAACCTAAATATATATATACTGTTTAGCCCTTTGCTGAAAAAGTTTACTGATCTCTGGTCTAAATCATTTAAATTCTAATTGTGTTCAAACTATATATCCATATGAGGTTATTTTGACTTTAGGAAATGGGGGGATAGGAAGCCAGAGGCAAAAAGAGATGTGTTGTATTCTTCTCATTTTGATATTTGCATGACAATCACTAAGATAAATATTGATAGCATTTCAAAATCCAAATGACAGATATAAGTTAAGAAATAACATGCAACAAAATACAAGGAGAGCTAAATCTAAAAGTTGAGAACATCATCAACTTCTTCCATCTGCTTTTAGTCTGCTATCAAAAAAGGTAATATTGTATTAATTTTAGGTAATAAAAATACTGGTCGAAAAACTAAAGAAAATGATTATTTAAAAAAATAAATAAAGTATAGGACCAATAAGACAAATACTGAAGGAGACAAATTTTGTCTTCCACAACATCAATTCAACTCTTTACAAACTGAGAGTTTGAGAAAAGAGGGGTAACATGAAAAAAAGACAAATGTTAATTATTCTATCTAAAGGCTAACCTTGGCGCCTTTCTGTCTGGCGGCAGCCATCAAGTAAGCCAAGATGGGTGCATACAAGCACATCCAGGAGCTATGGAGAAAGCAGCCTGATGTCATCATGCGCTTTCTTCTGAGGGTCTGCTGCTGGCAGTACCGCCAGCTCTCTGCTCTCCACAGGGCTCCCCACCCCATCTGGCCTGATAAATTGTGCAGACTGGGCTGCAAGGCCAAGAAAGGTTACATTATATATAGGATTCGTATTCGCCATGGTGGCCGAAAATGCCCAGTTCCTAAGGGTGCAACATATGGCAAGCCTGTCCATCATGGTGTTAACCAGCTAAAGTTTGCTCACAGCTTCAGTCCGTTGCAGAGGAGTGAGCTGGACGCCACTGTGGGGCTCTAAGAGTCCTGAATTCTTACTGGGTTGGTGAAGATCCCACATAGAAATTTTTTGAGGCTATCCTCATTAATCCATTCCATAATACTATCAGAAGAAATCCTGACACCCATGGATCACCGAACCAGTCCACAAGCACAGGGAAATGTGTGGGCTCACATCTGCAGGCCAAAAGAGCCGTGGCCTTTGAAAGGGCCATAAGTTCCACCACACAATTAGTGGTTCTAGCCAGGCAGCTTGGAGAAGGCGCAATACTCTCCAGCTCCACTGTTATCACTAATATAGGTAAAGTTTGTAAAATTCATACCTAATAAACTATTTAGGGCAGTCATGTCTGCTTACAGGTGTTATTTGTCTGTTAAAACTAGTCTGCAGATTATTTCATGAATATCAAATTAAGAAAGTTAAAGTGCAATAATGTTTGAAGACAATAAGTGATGGTGTGTCTTGTTTCTAATAGGATAAACTTTTTTGTCTTTGCTTTATCTTATTAGGGAATTATATGTCAGTATATAAGACATACTGTGTAGTATAATAGGTTTAAAATAAATTCTTTAAAAGAGGAGTACTGAAACTAGCTCTGTAGATTTGTCTGGTGCATGTGATGAAACCTGCAGCTTTACTGGGATGATGGCAATGCTCTGCTGGTTTACTTTCAAGTAGCTGGGTTTTTCATTTTGGCAGGTACAGACTTTTTAAATTGGGCTTCGCTTTAAAAATTGTAGGGTGGGAGGAGGACATCTTAACTATGTCATGATTATATTTAGAAAATTATGGGGACAAATCTGGGTTAGCCTGAGGAAAACTGCCTCTGTCTCCACAGTACCATTTTAAGTTCACATAAAAGGTGAAAGCTCCTGGTTCAGTGCCATGGCTTCATGGCATTCAATGGTTAATGGTAGTGGTATTAACACTGGTATGTTTTGAAATTGAATGTTAGATAAAATTATTAGCCTTAAGGTTGGTAAGCTAGCAATCAATATGCTAGGGTGGGAAGCTGGTGAGCCAGTGGCCATTAGATAAATACCTTTCAAGTGTGAGCTTAGAAGTCAATCTTAAAATATGTAACAATAACACTAATTTGTGATCATTATGAAACCCTTCAGTCACATTGCTGGGGGGTGGGGAGTAGTTGACTGTAAGTACATCATTCTTAGTCTATTCAGTTTTAAAAACATCTTGGGTTACCCACTGTGTGTATTCCCATAGGCTACAGAAAAAGTCATACAAGTGCATGGTTTCCAACCATATGTGTTTTCTGCAGTTATTTCTCTTGTTCCTGGCCAAACTACCCTAAAAATCCTTACCATTCCACAAAGTTGGGCCATCACTTGTGTGTCCACTTTCAGTGAAAGTATACCACCACATTGCATTTCTGTTTCCATCACGGCTTCCAGGAGACTAGGCTACTGTTTTCCAGGTTGAGTTTGAGTGTAAAGGAAATGTAGACAAGGAATTGTCCAATTCTCAATTCTGACTTTGCTGACTTAATTTAAATGCTTGCTTCTCTGAACCGATTTTCTCCTATCTTCTCTAGGGGTTTCAAAAGGCTTAGTTAATTGATTTCCAGAAAGTACTCATAGCAAGTTCATAAAAGTTCTTGAGACCTAAATTTCTTCTTAAAAAAAAGAAAAGATCCTAAGTCATACATTTTGATTGTGTAGAGGTTGTTCAACTAAAGGAATAAATGTCTATTAAACTAAAAAGAAAAAAAAAAAGACTAACCTTGGCAAAATCAGAAAGAAACATTCCAGTACACTGGAGAAAAATGGCTTTTTCTTCATTAATTAAAGATAATTTAACATAATGTTGAATAATCAGTTTTACAGGCATTGAATTTTTATAGAACAGGTTATATGAAATCCCAAACATGTTCTCAGCACTTCAGCATACCCCTAAAATTCATATTTCTAAACATTAAAAACACTGTTTAAATCTCATTCATTATATGGATACTCTTTATCTATTAAAGAATACATAAACAGAATTCTTAAAATACATAAACAATGCCAAATGGCTTCGGTTTCCAAATGGGCAACACTGAGGAAGCACTCTGAATGTTTCAGTTTTAAGTTATTTTATAGGGTCATTACCATGTTTATGATAAAATTTTTAACACTTAAATCTGTGTAGTGTTACACTGTAAAAACAACTATACATTTCACAAAGATACAGTTAGCAAACATGACTCAAGCAACTACGATGAGAAAGAGAGCCTGAGAGAGTAAGAGTGAGAGAAAGACAGAGGGAGAGAGAATGAATGGAATCCAAAGATTGAATATTAAGAAATGTCCCTGCTTACTTCTCAACTGGTTCTACATATTTTCCCTCCAAGATTATTATCATGTTTTAACTCAAAGAAAGTAGACTTAGGGTAATACTTATTCAGTATGGGGATGCTTACCAATCCAATTAATCAGACCTTATAAACACACTGACATTTTCATAAAGGTTCTCAATATATCATATCAATATAATACATGTTCTGAATGGCTAGACTTCGTATTACAGGAAATAGGCCTCAGTGCTAACATTCATACTGAAAAGCCATTGCGATAGAATGGGGGATAATTTATCCGTGAGTTCCATATTTTATTAAGATTTATACAACAGAAGAAAATATGACTGTTTACAAGAAAAAAGAAAATAGACTTACAGGACCTTACATTTTGAATCCATAAATAACAAATAAAAGATATTTAGCTTATTTCCACAAGAAGATGAATCTGTGTGTGTATATGTATGTGTAAAGACCTTTATGAATGGAAAATGTGTATGACTTAGACTAGGGCCAGGTATGTTTACTACCTTGAACATTTAATACTAAATGGAATATGCAAGTTTTAACTATATTAACCCTCCAATAATAAAAACTATCTGAACTAATAAAACGAAGTTCCAGGTTTATAAGTTATACATTAACAATGCATTGAAATTGCTATACGTCATTGAGATGATTCCTGAATATAAATAGAAGCATAATGACAGAGGGGATTAAAACCTGCAAATTAATTTCCACTAATATCAGAAGATAAAAACACAAAAACAGGTTCTTTTTTTTAACCTCTCAAAAGCTAGTACTCATAGTTATATAAGACAATGCTTTTATTCTTATATATACCATTTTTTAGTAAAGGGGAACAATGTTTCCAATATATTCTCCTTTAGTTCAGAAAAAACACATTTATAACAGTTGGATGAGGAGAGGGAGGAAAGGATAATAAAATAAATGGGTAGAAAATGTAAATAACTGATAAATCTATGTAAAGGGTATATGGGAGTTTCTTGTACTGTTCTTCAAACATCTCCAGAGTTTGAATTTACATCAATAGTTATCAAGGGAAATAAAAGCTATTAAATTTAGCCAAAAGTTTCAGTTTTTACTAACTATAATATTCTGTTTTGCAACTATTTTCTATTTCTTGAAAGCCCATATAATCTTCCTTTTCCCCCAGTTACTACTGTACTTAAATTAATCAAATTTAATTCTGGAAAAAACAATACTAGTATTAAAAATTTTTTTGAAAAACATAAGATTAAAAACTTCTACACAAAGAATAAACTCCAAAAGAAAAGATGCAAATAAAATGACTATAATAATCTTTTGTTTTTTATTTGCAAGTATAAATCGGAAGAAAAACAAAAGCCTGGAACATAGCATCTGTCATATCAGAATATAAAAAGATGATCCTGGCACAAAATGAAAAAGCTCTAATTCATTTGCAAATCAAGCCTGCCGGTTCCATTTCAAGCTGGCGGTAACTGTCAAGAGTTAACAAGATAATCACTTTCAATCCTGCCTTCAATGGTACATTACACTGTTATTCCATTCAATAAGGCCGTTCTTTGGGGCACTAGATGAATGGTTTTCATTTCTAACTCACACAAAAAGTTGTGCAGGGAAAAAATCCACGGGGCTTAAGAAAGAAATCCCTTTATGGGCATTTATCTGCCGGTACTTGCTTTTAGGCAAAATGAGATATTTTGAAACATCAGTGTCCATTCACTTCCTCTATTCCTTTAGGCCCTTAATCCTTTGGAAAAAAAAACAACAAATTGGCATATGAGAAAAGTGCAAAAGCAGTTTCATGTTTTAAATTATCAATGCACATTAAACAAAAATTATTAAAATGATTATATGCAAATACAATGCTATTATACTCAAAAGACTAATATTAACCAATCTCCTCCTTATCTCATGGTAACTCATGTCACTTTCTTAGATTACTCACCTATATTCTGGGTGAAATGCAGGTGCTTAAAATTTCATATTTAATTCTTGTTGTGTTCATAATGACTTGTACACCTAAAAAGGTTAAAATACCTTTCCAAATTATTCCTAGTTCAATGAAAATGAATTTTAGCTAGATGTTATCTTTATAATGCATTTATCAAAAAGCATTATAAAAGTTTTTACTATTTCATGATGTAACTTAATTTTACAAACAAATGTAGGTAAGATAGCTATATAATTATTTTTGCAAAAATATTGAAACTATATATTTAAAAAAGCAAATATATTTTTGCTTCATACAAAAAAATATATGGTGCAAAGACTTACATGCATCTACTAGTAATAGACAATTAGGCCATCTTTAAACTATAGTCTATGAGAGTAAAAGAATATTAAAATCTCTACTCTGACTGCTCATGCAGGCCTGTATCCATCAAATCCATCCAACATCAGTGTAAATTTATAAGAACCATCTGTGTATGAATCACAACTTATTATTCAAGTCTATTTAACAATAACAACAATTAATCTTTCCCCACCTACTCCCTCAATTCAGGAAACAATATTGCTATATATTGCCTATGTAAATCATAATCTCCAGCCAAGACTTTTAATCCTTTTATAATCCCTTATTAGAGGAAAATGTGGATTTGTAAAACTCATAGTACAAATGTCTATGAAGGACTTAAAGTCCTTCTAAAATCATTACTTCAAAAAAATTAGTGTATTTTGTATCCAAAAGCTTTAAGAAGTTAGAACATTCATGTTTATGACTACAAAGGCTACATACTTAAATTTTAAAATTCAGATGATTTCATGAATTCAATATGACACGGGGATAATCCTTTTATAAAAGGGAGAAGTCTTTCTGGAGCAGCCTAAGTTCACCCAATTCTTTCAAGTTCCAGTATGACTAATCATTTATCCTCTAAAAGGTAAAAATTATCCCTATTCTTAAAATAAATTGTAAAAAGATGGAGGAAAAAATGTATAGGAAAATAGTTCAGAAAGTTTTACATTATCAGATAGACTTGATCACTAATATTTAAATTTTAGATTAGTAGTCTAAACTTTGTCATTGCAAATAAATTATAATGAATCTGTATATTTTAAAGTCCTTATAAAATTTAAGCTATAGCAGAAAACCAGGAAACTTAAAACATAAATGCCATGCTTAAATCTATTAAATTTCTAAAAAGCTTGCATGATATTATAAAATGACAATAATGTTAAGGAAACCTTATTATTCCAAATTTTAAACCCTTAGTACCAAACATGTTAACACAGCAAGTAAACAGTGAGCATATTATGGTATGCTCAATAAATTACAATTGAAATACATGACTACAATATGTAAAACCAATCTGTGACATTACAAATTCCTAAAGAACCCTACAAACACAAAGCTACTGGCACAGCGCAATTCCATTAGAGCTTAGTATTGTGAATCAGTCCCCATACAGGGTGAGGACACTAAAGTCACCCTATCATTGGGGTACCCTATCCTTTTGTCGGGTTCCAAGATCATGGTTAACTCGGGAGGTAGAAATGTTTGATCTTTCAACTTCAAGCTGCCCTGCTGCAGCCTCCTTCCCTTATTAGATCCCTGGGGTTAGCTTTAAGCAAACACAGCAGCAAAGGCAGCAGGGAGTATGATGGATCTCCTACACGTCAACCATTGGAACAGCAATGAAGAGTGTTTGAGGAATAGCACAAGCCTTGGACAAAAGCTTTACCGAGAGTCACAAGCGGGTTCCAACAAGCAACCTGGTGTCTTGAATCATGTATGCAGTTGCTCCTATCCATTACTCACACTGATACCAGGAAACAAAATCTTCTGTCTACAGAAATACAGCTTCTAACTTACAGGGATATCTACTAACATAGTAAATATTTGCTTTCAATTTCTTCAGTTAAAAGAAGTTCTTCATAAATTACATTAGAAGCCAAGAAATGTTTTCTTGTTGTTCTTGTTCTGATATCTTCAAGATATCAAAAGAAAAAAAATAAGGGAATAACTCCTTAAGAACAGGTAAAATAAGAAATCTGTTTTCTGGGCCAGGCACCTATAATCCCAGCACTTTGGGAGGCCAAGGCAGGCAGATCACGAGGTCAAGAGATCAAGACCATCCTGGCCAACATGGTGAAACCCTGTCTCTACTAAAAATACAAAAATTAGCTGGGCATGGTGGCACATGCCTGTAGTCCCAGCTACTCGGGAGGCTGAGGCAGGAGAGTCACTTCAACCCGGGAGGCAGAGGTTGCAGTAAGCCGAGATTGTGCCACTGCACTTCAGCCTGGTGATAGAGCAAGACTCTGACTCCAAAAAAAAAAAATCTGTTTTCTGAAAATACTAAAAGCATGGTAGTGGGGAAAATAAACTTCATCGTCAAATGAGTAAGGTAGAAGGGAGATAAACTTAATTAGCATGTAGGAATGAAATATTTAAAATGCCTTCAAAATTTGAGAATATGATAAAACTTCAAGAAGATTCTCATATATCATACACCATAAACTAACATTAGGCTTACCACAAAAATTTAAATGAAGTAAACGAATGAAATAATTTTGTAAATATCATTTAGGCACATACTTGGATATTTTAAACATATCTGAAACGAATGCCCATATTCATGAAGAGGTCCTAAAAACCAAAGTAGTATTTAAAAAGGTGAACAACAGAATAATTAAAACTGGAAATTAACTGGCAATTCAGCAAGAAAAAAAATAAATGATCTATTATTCTATAAAAAGATTCTCAACCTTAATGATATTTAAGAAATAAAAATCAAAACAATATCCTTTATTTGCTGCCTACTTAAGTAGCAAAACTTTAAGGTTATAACCTTTTTCAATCTGGTTATGGGGAGATGACAGTCTCATATAATTATGTATTTTCAATGAAAGGTAAATACCTCAAATAATATATTTTCAATGTTTAAGATAACAGAGAAAGTCTACTATGATTAACAAAAGTGTTCAAGAATTCTATGCATTTATAAATGATCTGCAATAGAGATATAAATTTAAACTTTAGTATAAAAATTATCTCAAGTCACAGTATCTTTAAAGGTTTTGTTTTAATGTAACTTAAAATTAAAATTAAGACTAATAGTGAAGGAGTGGCAGAACAAAACTGCTGACAGAAAACAATTATAATAACTAAGTAACATGGTAAAAAATGTATTTATGGACACCAAACAGAATCCAAAAAGCCGCCACAAATAGTCTAATCACAAAAATCTCACTTAGAAGTGAAGAGTTACTGTTATATTTATTGTTTTATTATTTTCTGGTGTTGGGACACTCCTATGGCTATGGCTGCAGAAACACAATAGTAGAAGACCCCAGCCTTTGGGTTCAAGGTTCCAGAATCAGAGTTCAGGGCTAAAAGAACAGAAAAAATGTAAAACGGAAATGCAGGCAGGAAGAGAACCACAGCAACAGTATGATCCAAATCTGAATATAAATTAAGTCAAAACCCTTGACTAACAGCTAAATTACACATACTCAGGGGAAATTTTCAGGGAATCCAGCAAAAAGTAGCCAGAGATTAGAGAGAAATATACCTTTGATGCGTTTTTAAATTAAGTGTATTAACCAAATATGTGCATCTCTGGTGGTAGAAAGGTGAAGAAGAATGAACTTGAAGTATCTGAGGACACATTGTAAAGCTGGCAGAGCAGCTGAAAATGAAGCAATCAACCACAGAAGCAAAACAGACAGAGTGAGCTCTATCTCTACTTAAATTCTTAGCTGACAATAAAATTACATAGAAACAGAAAAGACTATGCCACAGAGCCAGTCTAAAAATGTAACAATGGGAAGTCCTAACAGTACAGAAATATTAGACAGTACCTATAGGAAGGAAGAGGATCTTTATAGTTTCAGGTGAGAAAAGTACAAAAATAAAACAAAACAATAATCCCCAGGAGAATACAGCTGAATCCAGAGTGGCTATAATGTTTTTTAAGCCAAAAAAAAAAAAAAAAAATAGATATGGAAACAAACAGCATAAGAAAAGAGTAAATCAAAACTATTAGTGAACCAGATATTAGTTTTATCACATAAATATTTATTGGCAGCTATTATAAATTGTTTAAATATTGAAGGAAAAATAGTGTCAATGAATGGATGGGAAATCTCATCAGAGATATGGAAACTATATTTTTTCAAAAAGAAAATTCTAAAGGTAAAAGCAAAATTTAAAAAAATTCATGAAATGGGCTCAAGAAAGAAAACAGAAAAATAAAATCAGTGAACTTAAAGAAAGACCACCATAAGTTACTCAATTTGGAGTACAAGAAAAAAAAATTTTTTTAAATGAAGAGGACCTCAAGAGATCTGTAGGACAATAGCAAGTGGTCCAACATATGTGTAAGGTCCACCAAGAGAAAAAGAACAAATGAACAAACAGAATATCTGAAGAAATAATAGCATAAAAGTTCTCAAATTTGGGGGAAAACATTTATTTACACAGACAAAAAGCTCACTGAAAAGTGAGCTTTTCAGTTTGGCTAAACATGAACAAAAATCACTCTCACGCATGATAGTCAAACTTCTGAAAGCCAAAGATAAAAAGAAAACCTGGAAAGAGGCCAGAGAACAAAGATGCAGTATATACTGGAACAATTATAAGATTACAGCTAACTTTTCCTCAGAAACTATGAAAGCCAGAAGGCATTGGAACAACCAATACAAAGTGATGAGGAAAGAAAAAAATTGTCAATCAATAATACATCCATATTTGAATGACAGTAAAATCTATCATTCAAAACTGAAGGTGAAATAGGCCAGGCATGCTGTCTCATGTCTGTAATCCCAGTACTTTGGGAGGCCAAGGCAGATGGATCACTTGAGCTCAGGGGTTTGAGACCAGCCTGCGCAACACAGCGAAACAGTGTCTCTACAAAAAATACAAAAATTAGCTGGGTACAATGGTGTGTTCCTGTAGTCTCAGATACTCAGGACGCTGAGGCAGGAGAATCATTTGAGCCCAGGAGGCGGAGGCTGCAGATCATATGATCTTGGAGGAGCCGAGATCATACCATTGCACTCCAGCCTGGGCAACAGGAGTGAAACCCTGTATCAAAAAGAGGGGGAAAAAAAAGAAGGTGAAATGAAGACACTTTTGCTTAGGATAAATATAATGGGATAAGTTAAAGTAGAATGGAATAAACTAAAGATGCATTTTAACAAGTTAAGTTTAAGGTGTAATTTGTAGAGGAACAACTAAAAATAAAACAAGGTGATACAGCTTTAAAACCAATAAAAAAATTAAAATGTAATGATAAAAAGTATAAACTACACCCAACAACCGCCAAGAAGCTCACTCTTTTCAAGTAAACCAAGTGTAGAACACTAAAATAAATAAATATATTTCAAAAGACTGTCTTACAAAGCATACTTTCTGAATACAACAGAATGAAATTATAATTCATCAACAATAAAACATCTACATAAGCTCAAAATATATAACAATTAAAAGTAGTGCTTACAGAAAATTTATAGCCTTAAATGTCTTTACTAGAAAAAGAGATCTACATTAATAATCAAGTTTCCTCCTTAAGTAGCTACAAAAAGATCAAAGTAAACCTAAAATGAGTAGAGAGTAAGGGAAAAAATTAAAGAGAAAAAATGATGAAAAAGAAAACAAATGGACTACAGAGAAACAATAAGATTCTGTGTTTTTCCAAGAACAAACACTATTAATTTTGATAAACCACCTTTAAAAATCAACTGCTTCATAGCATAATAATCATACTGTACTATACTGTTGGTATGGATGAAATAAGAGATATATAGATAAATAAAACAGAATGCAAAGACCAGAAAAGGACCCATATATATAGGAAATTTATTTTTGCTAAATTATCAAGGCTTCAGTGGGAATTCAATCAACATGGCAAAGTGTTTTAAAGGTGGCACTGAAATAAATGGCATCTGTATATGACAAAAAAAATCATCCCTACCTCACATCATAAGTCAAAATGATCACAGACATAAATATAGAAACTAATCCTATGAAACTACTAGAAGAAAATCTTCGTGACCTTGAGGTAGACAGGTTTTAGCAAACATTAAGAATGAAAAAAGCTGATAAATTGCAATTTATCAAAAGTAATAGCTTTTTAAATTGTTAGCTTACAAGTGGCGGAAAAAAAGTCATAGCTTTTGTTCCTCAAAAAGCATATTTAAGATTGGAGTAAAATTTTTTTTTTTTGAGACTGAGTTTCACTGTTGTCACCCAGGCTAGAGAGCAATGGCATGATCTCAGCTCACTGTAACCTCTGCCTCCCGGTTTCAAGCAATTCTCCTGTCTCAGCTTCCTGAGTAGCTGGGATTACAGGTGTCCGTTACCACGCCCGGCTAATTTTTGTATTTTTAGTAGAGACAGAGGTTCACCATCTTGGCCAGGCTGGTCTCAAACTCCTGACCTCAGGTGATCCACCCACCTCGGCCTCCAAAAGTGCTGGGATTACAGGCATGAGCCACTGTACCCAGCCTGGAGTAAAATTTTAAATGGGCAAAAGATTTGGTTCAAGATAAGTAAACAGAACACATTTATACTTCTGCCTGGAACAACCAAAACCAGCAACAACAAGAAAAAAATTCCAAAATGTATTTTTTAATGTTGTGCAAAACCCTGGAAATTAGGCAACAAAAAATAGTAACTACTGAGAGTTAAGAAACAAAGTATGAAGGCCTGTAATTACAGGTCCCAGTGCAACAGAGGAGAACTCAAGTAGAGCTTGGCAAACTCCTGGATTTGCAGAGTCAGAGCTGGCAGTCCAGGCAGACCAAGGCAGTTAAGAGTTCACAAGACAGAGTGTGTATGGCAGACCAGAGAGCAGCACAGAGACAGATCAGGGCAATCTTCAAATAGTCAGCAAAGTACTAATTAGCACATGCCTGTAAAGGCAAAAGAAAACACAATTTCAAAGAATTGGAGATTACTGCCTGGTGGTCATACAAAGTGAGAAATAGTGCCCATTCCAACAAGCCAGACAGGAAAAACTCATAACTCATAAGGCATAGGTTAAAATACCCAGGACGTTCATTCCTCAGTTGTGGGGAATGGTTAGCACTACACTGAGCACTACTCGACACCCACCAAACAAATCATAAAAGCAAGACTTAAGGGCACAAAACTGTTTCCAAGGAACTTAGCTGCATCTCAGAACAAAGCTTAAGAATGTTCATAGGATTGAAAAACTATCCAGACAAATCCAGTATAATGGTTGGAGATTTCCAATATTCTCTCAATATTTGATAGAACAAGTGGATAATCAGAAAGGACATAGTAGATGTGAACTTCACCATCAACCTGCGTGACCCAATTGACACTTAGAGAACAGTCCACATAAGAACAGCAGAATACAAAACTTATTCAAACCATTCATCAAAATAGAGCTATTCTGAGCCATAAAAGAAGTCTAAATACATTTAAAAGGATTCGAGTTATACAAAGTATGCTTTTTGGCACAATGAAATCAAATTAGAAATAGGTTACAAAAAGATATCTAGAAACTCTTCCAAAATTTGGAAACTATATGCCATGCTTCTAAATAACCCATGGAGAAAGAACAAATCAAAGGAAAATTAGACATTATTTAAATTCAATGAAACAAAAACATAATATCAGAATTTGTGGGATGCTGCTAAAGAAATACATGTATAATACTAAACGCCTACATGAGAAAAGCTGAAAGGCTGGAAATCAAGGTTTCAGCTTATACCTTAAGAAACTAGAAGAAGAGGAGAATTAAACCCAAAGTAAGCAGTAAAAAGAAAAATAAAACAGTTCAAAGTGGAAAGAAATGAAATAGAATGCAGAAACATTACAGAGAAAAATCGATGAAAACAAAAGCTGGTTCTTTAAGCACATCAATAAAACTGACAAATTTCTAGCCAAACTAATGAGAAAAAAGCAGTAACAACAAATTACTAATATAAGAAATAAACGAAGTGACATCGGTGTAGACTCTACAGACGCTAAAAGGATAAAAAGAGAACATCCTAAACAGCTTTATGTTTATAAATTCAACACCTTAGGTAACATGAACCAACTCCTGGAAAGACACAAACTATCAAAACTCACTCAAGAAGAACTTTTGTAAGCAATTTGATAAGAAACTGAGTAGCAACTAATCTACTGAAGAAAGTGGATTTGTAGCTAAAAACCTTTCCACAAAGAAAAATCCAGGCCCAAATGGCTTCATGCCTAAGTTTTACCAAACATTTAATAATCAAATAATACAAATTCTCTACACACTCTTCCAAAAAACTGAAAAGGAAATATTTCCCAACTCATTCTTTGGGCCAGCATTACCCTGTCACCAAACACAGACAAAGGAATTATAAGAAAATAAGACTGCAAAACAACGTTCTAAATAAAAACAGAAGCAAAAATTCTAAACATAATATTAGCAAAGCAAATGCAACAATATATAAAGAGAATAATATATCATGACCAAGTAGAGTTTTATACTAGAAATGTAATGTTGTTTCACATTCAAAACTCAATCAATGTAGTTCCCCATATTAATAATTTAAAAAGAAAAGCAGTATAATCGTTTCAGTAGTCACAGAGAAAGCATTTGACAAAATAAAACAACCATTTCTTAAAAAATTCTCAGCACACTAGGACTAAAAGGGCACTTCCCCAACCTGTCAAAAGGAATCTACTAAAATTATCTTGATAACATCAAAATAATGGAAAAAGACTGAATATTACCTAAGATCATAAGTAAGACATAGATAGGCATGCTTACTGCTTCTATTCAATGCTGTGCTGGAGATCTTAGCCTGAGCAATCAGGCAAGGAAAAAACAAAAGGCATCAAGACTGGAAAGAATTAAAACTGTCTTTATTACAGGCAACATGAGCATATATGTAAAAACCTCAATTTACAAAAAAGCTACTAAAAGTATAAGTGAATTTAATGAGACTGCAGGATACAAGGTGAACACACAAAATTCAACAGCATTTATGTATATCAGCAATAAGTAATCTGAAATTGATATTAAATATATATAAATAATTTCAAAAAGAAATACTTCAGGAAATTTTTTTAATGTCAGAGACCTTCTAAAGTATATGCTACAAAATATTGGTGAAAAAAATTTTAAAGACCTCAATAAATAAAGACATATACCTTGTTACTGCGCTAAAAGAGTCAATATTATTAACATGTCAATTCTCCCCAAACTGATCTACAGACTCAATTCAATCCTAATAAAAATCAAAGCAGGATATTTTATAGAACTGACAAGATGATTATAAAATTTGTGTAGTAATAACAAAGAACTTAAGACAGTCAAAACAACTTTGAAGAGAATTAAGTTGGAGAGCTAAGACCACATGATTCCAAGTACTTCAGTGTAAAACAACAAAATGTCTAGAAATGAACCCACACATTTGTGAACAACTGATTTTTTTTACGAAGATACAAAGGCAATTCAATATACTCTTGTCAACAAATGATGCATAAAATACTAAATTTTAAATATGCAAAAAACAAAAAATGAACATTAACCATATCTTATACCATACTCAAAACTACCTCAAATAAACCATAGACCTAAATGTCAAACTTAAAATGATAAAACTGGTAGAAGTAAACAGAAGAAAATCTTTGGACCTTAAATTAGGCAAAGAAATCTTAGATCAACACGAAACACATGACCTATAAAAGAACAAAGAAATAAACTAGACTTCCTCAAAATAAAAAAACTCAAAAACTACTAATAAATGAAAGAAAAGCTATGGCATATATTTGTTAAAGCAACAGTTCCCAACCTTTTTGGCACCAAGAACCAGGTTTCATGAAAGACGATTTTTCCATGGATGGGGCTGGGTAGGGGTGGTGCAGAGGGCAGGTGTTGCAGAGTGGCAGAAGATACGGTTTCAAGATGATTCAAGTGCATTACAATTACCGTGCACTATATTTCTATTACTATTACATTGTCATATATAATGAAATAATTACACAACTCACCATAATGTAGAATTAATGGGAGCCCTGAGTTTGTTTTCCTGAAACTAGACAGTTCCATCTGGTGGTGATGGGAGACAATGACAGATCATCAGGCATTAGATTCTCATAGGAGCATGCAACCTAGATCCTTCACATGCATAGTTCACAATAGGGTTCATGCTCCTATGAGAATCTAATACTGCTGCTGATCTGACACAAGGCAGAGCTCAGGCAGTAATGCAAGCGATGGTGAGTGGCTGTAAATACAGATGAAGCTTCGCTTGCTACTCCACAACTCACCTCCTGCTGTGCATCCCAATTACTAACAGGCCATGAGCCAGCTGGGGACCTCTGTGTTAAAGTACTTGAATCCAGAATATATAAAGAACTCTAAAAACTTAGTCATAAGGGAAAAATAACCCAATACAAAACAACCAAAAGATTTAAACACACACTTCACCAAGGAATATATATATAGGTGAAAAATAAGAAGATGGAAACATGTGAAACATCATTAGCTATCAGAGAAATGTAAATTAAAGCCACAATGATGCACCACTATATACCTATTAGAATGTCTAAAATTAAAAAGACTGACCACGCACAGTTTTGCTGAGGATGTGGAATAATTAGAACACACATACACAGCTAGCAGAATTGTAATATGGCACAACCACTTTGGAAAATAATTTGGCAATCTGTTAAAAAGTAAAGCATAGAGGGAAGGCGGAGCAAGATGGCCAAATAGGAGCCTGCAGTGATCATCCCCCTGGCAGGAACAGCAAATTAAACAACTATCCACACAAAAATGCATCTTTGAAAAGCCCAAATCAGGTAAGCAATATAACAGTACCCAGTTTTAACACCACATTAAGGAAAGAGACACTGAAGAGAATAGGAAAATCATCTTGAATCACCTACACCACCTTTCCCTGAACCCCCAGCAGCAGCCATGTGGTGCAGAGACAGAATCTGTGCACTTGGGGGAGGGAAAGTACAGTGATTGTGGGACTTTATGTTGGAACTCAGAGCTGCCCTGTAGCAGCAAAAAGCAAAATGGGATAGAATTCAGCCAGGGCCCAGACAGAGAACATTTGGACCAGCCATAGTGAGAGGTGAACTGTCCATCCCAGTCGTTGGAATTAGAGTGCTGGCAAGCTCTGTCAATATGGGCTAAAGTAGCCTGGGGTCCTAAATAAACTTGAAAAGCAGTCTAGGCCACAAGAACTGTAATTCCTGGGCAAGCCTCAATGCTATGCTTGGCTCAGAGCCAGAGTACTTGAAATGCGCGCAACCTGGTGAGACACAAGCCAGGATGCCCAAGGAAGTGCTTGTGTCACTCCTCCCCTAATCCCAGGCAGAACAGGTGCAGCTCTGGAAGAGATTCCTTCTTTCTGCTTGAGGAGAGGAGATGGGAAAGTAAAGAGTTCCTTGTCTTGCAACTGGGATACCAACTCGGCCACAGCAGAATAGGCCACCAGGCAGAATCCTGAGGCCCCCATTCCAGGCCATAGCTCACAGATGACATTTCTAGACATACCCTGGGGAAGAAGAGAATGTGCTGCCTTGAAGGGGAAGACCTAGTCCTGGCAAGATTCATCAACTGTTAACTAAAGAGCCTTTGAGCCCTGAATAGTATGTACTACAGGTCTTGGGTGAGACTCAGAGCCAAGCTGGCTTGCGGTGTAACCCCGCACATTCCAAGCTGTGGTGGCTATTGGAAGAGACTCCTCCTTCAGAAAAGGAGAAGAAAAGGAGTAAAGAGGACTTTGTCTTGCAGCTTGGCTACCAACTCAGACACACTGGGGTAGAGCACCAAGTGGACACCTGGGGTCCTCAATTCCAGGCCTTGAATCCTGGATGGCATTTCTGGACCTGCCTTGGGCCACAGGGGACCCAACTTACCTGAAGAGAGACACCCAGACATGGCAACATTAACCACAAGCTATTGAAAGAACCCCTTAACCTTGGGTGAGCATTGATGATAGCCAGGCAATACTCACCACAGCCCTGCGGCAGTGAGGCCATAGGGAGAGACTCCTTAGCTTGAGAAAAGGGGAAGGAAGAGCAGAAAGGACTTTGCCTTGCAGCTTAGGTGATAGCTCAGCTGCACTAGAACAGAGAACTAAGTAGATTACTAAGGTTCCTCGCTCCAGGCCCTGGCTCATGGACAGCATCTCTGGACCTGCCTGGGGCTGGGGGGAACTCGCTGCCCTGAAAAGAAGGACACAAGCCAGGCTAGACTCACCACCTGTGGATTGTAGAGCCACTGGACTTTGAGTGAACATACGCAGTAGCCAGACAGTGATCACCGCAGGCCATGCACAAGACCCAGTGCTGTGCTGAGTACGGGTCTGATCAAGCACAGTCCCTGTAATGGTGGCCAGAAGGGTGTTTGTCACCCTTACCCCAGTTCCAGGCAGTTCAGCACAGAGTGAGACACTCTGTTTGGGGAAAAGAAAGGGAAGGGAACAAGAGTCTCTGTGTGGTAATCCAAAAAATTCTCCTGCATCTTACCAAAGACCACCAAAGTAGTATCTCTACGAGGCTACAAGAGCCACAGCATTACTGGGCTTGGAGTGCTCCCTAATGCAGATATAGATGCCATGACCAAAGACATAGAGTGCAACACCCAAGTCCCTATGAATACTCGGAAAGCCTCCCCAAGAAGGATGAATACAAACAAGTCCAGACTGTGAAGGCTACAATAATAATGCCCAGACACCTATAAACATTTCAATGCCCAGACACCGATGAACACGCAGAAGAATCAAAACATTCCAGAAAAAGATGGCCTCACCAAAGAAACTCAACAAGGTACCACCAGCCAATCCTGGAAAGATAGACATACATAACCTTTCAGACAGAATTCAAAATAGCTGTTGTAAGGAAGGTGAACAAAATCCAAGATAACAAATACCAAGAAGAAATTCAGAATCCTATCAGCTAAATTTAATAAAAAGACTGCAATAATTTAAAAGAATCCAGCAGAAAATCTAGAATTGAAAAATGAAACTGACATACTGAGAAATGCACCAGAGTCTCTTAGCAGAACCGATCAAGCAGAAGAAAGAACTACTGAGCTTGGAGACAGGCTATTTGAAAATACACGGTCAGAGGAGACAAAAGAAAAAAGAATAAAAAAACATGAAGCACACCTACAAGATCCAGAAAATAGCCCCAAAAGGGCAAATCTAAGCGTTATTGGCCTTAAAGAGGAGGTAGAGAAAGAGACAGAGGTAGAAAGTTTGTTCAAAGGGATAAAAACAGAGAATTTCCCAAACCTAGAGAAAGACACCAGTATTCAAGAACAAGAAGGTTATAGAACACCAAGCAGATTTAACCCATAGACTACCTCAAGACATTTAATAATCAAACTCCCAAAGTAAAGAAAGAAAAGGATCCTAAAGGCAGCAAGAGAAAAGAAACAAATAACAGGAAAAGGAGCTCCAATACATCTGGTGGAAACCTTACAGGCCAGAAGAGAGTGGCATCACATATATGAAGTTCTGAAAAACAACAACAACAAAAAAAAAACTTTTATCCTAGATTAGTATATCCAGCAAAAATATTGTATAAATATGATGGAGAAATAAAGACTTTCCCAGACAAACAAATGCTAAGGGACTTCATCAACACCAAAAAAAAAAAAAAAAAAAAAAAAAAAGGTTAAAAGGAGTTCTTCAATTTGAAAGAAAAGGGCATTAATGAGCATAAGAAATCATCTGAAGGTTTAAAACTCACTGGTAATAGTAAGTAAACAGAAAAACACAGAATATTATAACATGTAACTGTGGTGTGTAAACTACTCATATCTTGAGTACAAACACTAAAAGATGAACCTATCAAAAATACTAACAACCTTCCAACTCACAGACAGTAAAATAAGCTATCAATAGAGACAGGACAAGGTTAAAAAGCAAGAAAGGGGACGAAGTTAAGGCATAGAGTTTGTATTAGTTTTCACTTTGCTTGTTTCTTTGTTTATGCAATCGATGTTAAGTTGACATCAGTTTAAAATAATGAGTTATATTATTTTCAAGCCTCATGGTAACCTCAAATCAAAAAACATATAAGAAACACACCAAAAATAAAAGCAAGAAAATAAACCACCAAAGAAAATCATCTTTGCTAAAAGAAAGACAGGAAAGAAGAAAAGATGGAAGAGAGGACACAAAACACCTAGAACACAAATAACAAAATGGCCAGAGTAAGTATCTATTTATCAATAAAAACCCTGAATGTAAATTAACCAAACTCTCCAATCAAAAGGCATAAAGTGCCTGAATGGATAGAAAAACAACACACAATGATCTGCTGCCTACAAGAAACATACATCACTTAAAAAGACAGCCAGACTGAAAATAAAGGGAGGAAAAAAGATATTCTATGCTAATAAAAAACAAAAAAGAGCAGGAATAACCATATGTATATCAGACAAAATCGATTTCTAAACAAAACCTAAAACAAGAGGCAAAGTCATTATATAATGAAGAGGTCAATACCGCAAAAGGATAAAGCAATTATAAATAAACATATACCAGTAAATAATAAAATGAAGGCAGAAATAAAGATGATCTTTGAAACAAATAAGAACAAAGACACCAGTGTACCAGAACCTCTGGGACACATTGAAAGCAGTGTGTAGAGGGAAATTTATAGTACTAAATGCCCACAAGAGAAAGCAGGAAAGGTCTAAAATCGACACCCTAACATCACAATTAAAAGAACTAGAGAAGCAAGAGCAAACACATTCAAAAGCTAGCAGAAGGCAAGAAATAACTAAGATCAGAGCAGAACCAAAGGAGATAGAGACACAAAAAACCCTTCAAAAAAAATCAATGAAACCAGGAGCTGGTTTTTTGAGAAGATCAACAAAATTGACAGACCACTAGCAAGACTATTAAAGAAGAAAAGAGAGAAGAATTAAATAGGTGCAATAAAAAATGATAAAGGAGATACCACCATGGATCCCACAGAAGTACAAACTACCATCAGAGAATACTATAAACACCTCTACACAAATAAACTATAAAATCTAGAAGAAATGGATAAATTCCTGGACACATACACCCTCCCAAGACTAAACCAGGACGAACTTGAATCTCTGAATAGACAAGTAACAGGCTCTGAAATTGAGGTAATAATTAATAGCCTACCAACCAAAAAAAGTCCAGGAACAGATGGATTCACAGCCGAATTCTACTAGAGGTACAAAGAGTAGCTGGTACCATTCCTTATGAAACCATTCCAATCAATAGAAAAAGAGGGAATCCTCCCTAACTCATTTTATGAGGCCAGCATCATCCTGATACCAAAACCTAGCAGAGACACAACAACAACAACAACAAAGAGAGAATTTTAGACCAATACCCCTGATGAACATCCATGCAAAAATCCTCAATAAAATACTGGCAAACCAAATCCAGCAGCACATCAAAAAGCTTTTCCACCACGATCAAGTAGGCTTCATCTCTGGGATGCAAGGCTAGTTCAACATACGCAAATCATAAATGTAATCCATCACATGAACAGAACCAACGACAAAAACCACATTATTATCTCGAGAGGTGCTGAAAAGGCCATCGACAAAATTCAACAGCCCTTCATGCTAAAAACTCTCAATAAACTAGGTATTGAGGAACGTATCTCAAAACAATAAGAGCTATTTATGATAAACCCACAGCCAATATCATACTGAATGGGCAAAAACTGGAAGCATTCCCTCTGAAAACCGGCACAAGACAAGGATGCCCTCTCTCACCACTCGGATTCAACACAGTGTTGGAGGTTCTGGCCAGGGCAATCAAACAAGACAAAGAAATAAAGGGTATTCAAATAGGAAAAGAGGAAGTCAAACTGTCCCTGTTCGTAGATGACATGATTGTACACTTAGAAATCCCCATTGTCTCAGCCCAAAATCTCCTCAAGCTGATAAGCAACTTCAGCAAGGCCTCAGGATACAAAATCAATTTGCAAAAATCACAAGCATTCCTATACACCAATAACAGACACCAATAACAGACAGCCAAATCACAAGTGAACTCCCATTCACAATTGCTACAAAGAGAGTAAAATACCTAGGAATCCAATTTACAAGGGATGTGAAGGACCTCTTCAAGGAGAACTATAAACCACTGCTCAACGAAATAAAAGAGGACACAAACAAATGGAAGAATATTCCATGCTCATGGACAGGAAGAATCAAAATGGCCATACTGCCCAAGGTAATTTATAGATTCAATGCCATCCCCATCAAGCTACCAATGACTTTCTTCACAGAATTGGAAAAAACTACCTTTAAGTCCATATGGAACCAAAAAAGAGCCCGCATCTCCAAGTCAATCCTAAGCCAAAAGAACAAAGCTGGAGGCATCATGCTACCTGACTTCAAACTATACTACAAGGCTACAGTAAACAAAACAGCATGGTACTGGTACCAAAACAGAGATATAGACCAATGGAACAGAACAGAGGCCTCAGAAATAACACAACACATCTACAATGATCTGATCTTTGACAAACCTGAGAAAAACAAGCAATGGGGAAAGGATTCCCTATTTAATAAATGGTGCTGGGAAAACTGGCTAGCCATATGTAGAAAGCTGAAACTGGTTCCCTTCCTTACACCTTATACAAAAATTAATTCAAGATGGATTGAAGACTTAAATGGTAGACCTAAAACCATAAAAACCCTAGAAAAAAACAGAGGGAATACCATTAAGGACACAGGCATGGGCAAGGACTTCATGACTAAAACACCAAAAGCAATGGCAACAAAAGCCAAAATAGACAAATGAGATCTAATCAAAGAGCTTCTGCACAGCAAAAGAAAACTACCATCAGAGTGAACAGGCAACCTACAGAATGGGAGAAAATTTTTGCAATCTACCCATCTGACAAAGGGCTAATATCCAGAATCTACAAAGCACATAAACAAATTTACAAGAAAAAAACAAACAACCCCATCAAAAAGTGGGTAGAGGATATGAATAGACACTTCTCAAAAGAAGACATTTATGCAGCCAACAGACACATGAAAAAATGCTCACCATCACTGGTCATCAGAGAAATGCAAATCAAAACCACCATGAGATACCATTTCACACCAGTTAGAATGGCGATCATTAAAAAGTCAGGAAACGGCCAGGTGCGGTCACTCACACCTGTAATCCCAGCACTTTGAGAGGCCGAGGTGGGTGGATCATGAGATCAGAAGATCAAGAACACCCTGGGTAACATGGTGAAACCCCATCTCTACTAAAAAATACAAAAAATTAGCCAGGCGTGCTGGCGGCCGCCTGTAGTCCCAGCTACTCGGGAGGGTGAGGCAGGAGAATGGCGTGAACCCAGGAGGCAGGGCTTGCAGTGCACCGAGATCGCACCACTGCACTCCAGCCTGAGCGACAGAGCGAGACTCCGTCTCAAAAAAAAAAGTCAGGAAACAATGGATGCTGGAGAGGATGTGGAGAAATAGAAACGCTTTTACACTGTTGGTAGGAGTGTAAATTAGTTCAACCATTGTGGAAGACAGTGTGTCATTTCCTCAAGGATCTAGAACCAGAAATGCCATTTGACCCAGCAATCCCATTACTGGGTATATACCCAAAGGATTATAAATCATGCTACTATAAAAACACAGGCACACGTATGTTTATTCTGGCACTATTCACAATAGCAAAGACGTGGAACCAACCCAAATGTCCATCAATGATAGACTGGATTAAGAAAATGTGGCACATATACACCATGGAATACTATGCAGCCATAAAAAAGGATGAGTTCATGTCCTTTGCAGGGACATGGATGAAGCTGGAAACCATCATTTTCAGCAAACTAACACAAGGACAGAAAACCAAACACTGCACGTTCTCACTTACAGTTGGGAATTGAACAATGAGAACACTTGGACACAGGGCGGGGAACATCACACACCAGGGCCTGTTGTGGGGTGGAGAGAGTGGGGAGGGATAGCATTAGGAGAAATACCTAATGTAAATGATGAGTTGATGGGTGCAGTAAACCAACATGACACACGTATACCTATGTATCAAACTTGCATATTCTGCACAAGTACCCTGGAACTTAAAGTATAATTAAATAAATAAATATATAAATATATACCAACCAATGGAACACCCACATATATAAAGCAAGTTTTATTAGACCTAAAGAGAGAAACAGATTTCAGTACAATAGCCGGAGATTTTAACACCCCAATTTCAGCACTGGACAGATTATGTAGAGAGAAAATCAACAAAGAAAATTTGAACTTATGTGCACTATCCAGGAAACGGACCTAATTGATATTCACAGAAAATTTAATCTAATGGCTGCAGAACACTCTTCTCCTCAGCTCATGGATTATCTCAAGGACACACCATATATGAAGCCATAAAACAAGTTGTAAAAACTTCAAAGACATTAGAATGATATCAAGTATCTTCTCTTACTACAGTGGAATAAAATTAAAAATCAAAAAGAAGAGGAATTTTGTAAACTATACAAACCATGGAAATTAGATGATATGCTTCTGAATGATGAGTGGCTCGATGAAGAAATTAAGGAGAAAAATAAAAAAATTTCAAGAAACAAATAAAAATGGAAACACAACACACCAAAAATCTATGGGATACAGCAAAAGTAGTATGAAGAGGAAAGTTTACAGGAATAAGAATCTACATCAAAAAAAGCAGAAAAGCTTTAACAAGCCAGCGATACATCATAAAGCAAAAGAAAATAGAAGACCAAACCAAACCCCAAATTAGTAGAAGAAATAAGATTAGAGAAGAAATAAATGAATTTGAAGCCAATAAGTGCCAAAAAAAATCAATGAAAGAAAAAGTTCATTTTCTGAAAAGAAAGAAAATTAAGAAAACCTTTAGTCAGTCTAAGAGAAAAAGAGAGAAGAACCAAATCAATAAAATCAGAGATGAAAAAGGAGACACTACAACTGATACCACAGACATTTAAAGGATCAATAAAGGCTACTATGAGAAACTATATGCCAAGAAATTGGAAAACCTAGAAGAAACAGAAATATTCCTAGACACATACAGTCTACTAAGATTGAACCATGAAAAAATACAAAACGTGAATAGACCAGTATCAAGTAACGAGATCAAAATCATAATAAAAAGTCTCCCGGTAAAGAAAAGCCCATGACTCAATGGCTTCAATGCTGAATTTACCAAACATGTAAAGAACTTATTCCAATCCTACTCAAATTTTTCCAAAAACTAGAGAAAGAAGGAATACTTCCAAACCCATTTTATGAGGCCAGTATTACCCTGATACCAAAACCAGACAAAGACACATCAAAAGAAGACTACAGACCAATATCCCTGATGAACATTGATGCAAAAATCCTCAACAAAATACTAGCAAACTGAATTCAAGAACACATTCATCGGCCGGGCGTGGTGGCTTACGCCTGTAATCCCAGCACTTTGGGAGGCTGAGGTGGGCAGATCACAAGGTCAGGAGATCGAGACCATCCTGGCTAACACAGTGAAACCCCATCTCTACTTAAAAAAAATACAAAAAATTAGCCGGGCGTGGTGGCGGGTGCCTGTAGTCCCAGCTACTTGGGAGGCTGAGGCAGGAGAATGGCGTGAACCCGGGAGGTGGAGCTTGCGGTGAGCCGAGATCATGCCACTGCACTCCAGTCTAGGCAACAGAGCGAGACTCCTTCTCTAAGAAAAAAAAAAAAAAATCATTCATCATGACCAAGTGAGATTTATCCCAGAGAGGCAAGAATGGTTCAACATATGCAAATCAATCAATAGGATACATCATACCAACAGAATCAATTAATGCTGAAAAAACATTTGATAAAATTTAACATCCCTTCATAACAAAAACCCTCAAAAAGCTGGGTACAGAAGGAAAATATCTCAATGTAATAAAAGCCATATATGACAGACCCACAGCTAGCATCATACTGAATGGGGACAAACTGAAAGCCTTTCCTCTAACATCTGGAAGAAGACAAGGATGCACACATTCACCACTGTTACTCAACAGAATTATAGAAGTCTTAGCTAGAGCAATCAAACAAGAAAAGAAAATGAAGGGCATCTAAACTGGAATGAGAAAAGTCAAATTATCCTTGTTTGCAGATGATATGATCTTGTATTTGGAATAACCTAAAGACTCCACCAAAAAACTATAATAACTGATGAACAAATTCAGTAAAGCTGCAAGATACAAAACCAACATACAAAAACCAGTAGCATTTCTACATGCCAAAAGTGAACATTCTGAAAAAGAAATCAAGAAAGTAATCCAATTTACAATAGCCACAAATAAAATTAAATTCTTAAGAATTAATTTAACCAAAAAACAAAGATCTCTATAATGAACACTATAAAATATTGGTGAAAGAAATTGAAGAGGACATAACAAAATGGAAAGATATTTCATGTTTATGGATTGGAAAAATCAATATTGTTAAAATGTCCATACTACCCAAAGCAATCTACAGATTTAATGCAATCTCTCTTAAAATACCAATGAAATTTTTTGAAGAAATAGAAAAAAAATCCTAAAATTTATATAAAACCACAAAAGATCCAGAACACCCAAAGCCATCCTGAATAAAAAGAACAAAACTGGAGGAATCATATAACCTTACTTTAATAAAACTACAGAGCTATAGTAACCAAAACAGCATGGTACTTGCAGACAAACAGACACAGACCAATGGAACAGAATAGAGAGCCCAGAAACAAATCCACACACCTACAGCGAACTCATTTTCAACAAAGGTGTCATGAACATAGACTGGAGAAAGGACAGTGCTGGGAAAACTGGATATCCATATGCAGAAGAATGAAACTAGGCTC